>NC_000010.11:18191818-18343333 GCF_000001405.40 Homo sapiens
TTTTTTTATGCACTCATTGATTCATGGACATTTGTGTTGGTTCCATATTTTTGCAGTTACAAATTGTGCTGCTATAAACATGCGTGTGCAAGTGTCTTTTTAATATAATGTCTTCTTTTCCTCTGGGTAGATACCCATTAGTGGGATTGCTGGGTCAAATGGTGATGTCCACAGTGGTAAAAAGGACTAAAGTGTGCCCTCATATCAATATAAGGTACAAGTGAAATGGAAAGACTTGAGGCAGGAATCTAGGATGCTAGATAAGTGAATCCTGAAAAAATCGTCTCCTCTGATCTCCAGCAAATGCAGAGGCAACAAGAACAAGGCCAGACAAAGGTACAGTCTGTTGTTTGGTATAGCTTTGGATCAAAGCACCAGTGGATTTCATCACCTGAACCTTCAAGGATTCTTTGTCTGTACCAGGCAGGCCTGAGTGGCATCAGACTTACGTTCATTCATTCATTCATTCATGTATTATAATTCATTGAAGTGAAATTTATGTAACATACAATTAATCATTTTATTTTTATTTTAATTAATTATTTTAGAGACAGGGTCTCCCTTTGTCACCCAGGCTGGGGTCCAGTGGTGTGATCATGGCTGACTGTAGCCGCCAACTCCTGGGCTCAAGTGATCCTCCTGCCTTAGCCTCACAAAGCACTGGTATTACAGGTATGAGCCACCACCTGTAACCATTTTAAAGTGGACAATTCAGTGGCATTAAATACATTCACGATGTTGTGTAACTACTCTCTCTTTCTAGTTCCAACACATTTCCGCCACACCTAAGTAAAATTCCTTACCCATTAAGCAATTTCTTCCTATCCTTCCCATCCCCCAGGCCCTGGCAACCACCAATCTGTGTTCTGTCTCTATGGATTTATTTATCCTGGGTATTTCATATAAATGAAATTAGACAACATGTAACCTTTTGTGTCTGGCTTCTTTTATGTAGCGTAATTTTTTAAAGGACCACCCACATTGCAGCCATACTTCATTCTTCTTTATGACTGAATGATATTTTATAGTATTATCATCATAATATTTGTGTGCCACAAATTATCCATTCATCCACTGATGGACATGGGCTGTTTTTGCCTTTTGGCTATTGTGAATTGAGCTGCTATGAACATTTATGTATCTGTACTTGTTTGAGTCCCTGTTTTCAATCCTTTTGGATATATACGTAGAAATAGAATTGCAGGGTCATGTGATAATTCTTTATTTACAATTCATATATAATTGTACATATTTATGGGGTACATGTGATGTTTTGATACATTTGAATACAATGTATAATGATCAAATCAGGGTAATTAGCATATCCATCACCTCAAACATTTGTCATTTGTTTGTGTTGGGAACATTTCAAATCTTCTCTTCTAGCTATTTTGAAATATATAATAAATTATATAATAATCCTGTGTGTAACTTTTTGAGAAAGTGTCAAGCTTTTTTTTTTTTACAGTGATTGAATCATTATACATTTTCCCCAGCAATAAACAAGCATTCCAATTTCTCCACATTTTTGCCAACACTTATTATTTTCTAGTTTTTCGATTATAGCCATCCTGTGGGTGTGAAGTGCAGGTGGCTTCTTTTTATTAGGCCATTCCTGGTTTCCACTCAAGGAAAAGGCCCTTTTAATGTAGAAGGAAAACCAGGCCCACCTTATTATGCTAGCTATTAGAAAAGAAATCTCCAAGGAGATAGATTCCAGAAGGGCCTCTGCAGGGCAGTACTCCCTTCTGGAACCCAAGGCTTTACTCTCTTGGCCAGCATCTGAGCTCCCCACTCTAGTGTGGTGGGTTGATGTGTGTTTTACCTCTGAGGGGCTCACTACAGCCCTCTCTCCTTGAAGATGGAGTGAGCTGGTGGGCTATGGAGGAGTGCTTGTAGAAAGGAAACTAAAGCTTTCTGGACAAACAGATAAACTCCTAGATTCATTCATTTATTCAGTAAATATGTATGCATCCTGATTATATGCTGGGTACTCCTCTGGGTGCTCATGAAGCATCAGTCACTCAAACACATGAAGCTTGTTGCTTTTGTGAGCTTCCATTCTGCAGGGGAAGATAGACATTGAGCAATAAGCTTAATAAATACATCCTATGGTATGTTAGGAGGTGATAAGTGCTACAGAAAAAAATAAAAAGAAAAAGTAGACCAGGATAGAAAGCTTCTGGAGTATTGGGTTGGGGAAAGTGGGGTAGACCTTTTGGAGAAGCTGTGGTGTGAGCACAGTCTGGAAGGAGTTGAGTATGAAGGATTCTCTCAATCAGAGTTTATCCAGACAGAGATGCCCCATGCCTCTGAGCTCACTGCTGTGGTTCCTTTCCTGTCATCTGAGTCCCTGCTCTTCCAGGTTTTCACAGTCATCTCTTGATGTTCATCTGTCTCCTTCACTTTGCTCAATACACTAAGATGTCTTTGCAGTTGCAACTGGTTAATGAATGACGGTGAAAATTAGGCCCCTAGGGCTGTCAGCAACTCCAGGCCCCCCAGCTGAAGGAAGCCAGGTGGGAGTGAACCAAATCTTCCCAATTTACCTGACAATGAGACTCAAAGTTGTAAAGACTGTAGGCTATAGCTCAGTTTGTCAGGGATTCTAGAATCTTCTAGAAGGGGCTTCTAGAAGATTCTGGACATCTTTATAGCTCAGACAATTTGTAATTATCAGGTACCCCATGGGCTTCTGGTGTTGTGCCCTGAGGGCAACCAACAAAGGCTTTAAGTTTATCAGGTTCCTCTCTGTGATGTCCTCTTTTAAATCAGACCTGTTCATTCTGGGACAGGCAATCACAGCTGAGGCAATAGATGGGTGTGGGGGAGATATATTTTGTTTAGTGTCTCCTATTAGAAGATTTTCACTTGAAAGATGAGAATTGGAGTCTTTTTGTCCCTGAGAAAATATCCAGATTCAACCTTATCTTTGCAGGCCTTTTACAAAATTCTGTGCTGAAGTCTGTGTTTTATGAAACGAACATTCCTACAATTATGTTTTTAGCAGTTCCAGTCATGTGACATGGAATACAGTTTCGACATCATGATGTCCATTCACTTTATAGTGATGTTGATTTCCAGTTTCTCAGAAGATTCATTTCAGAAATAAGAATTGCTCTGGTTTCAAACTTTTAGCTCTAAATTCAGCATTTGGAGACCTTCAATGAGGCTGATTCTTAGGATGTGTATGGTCTCAAATTTTTTTTCCTTAGAGTTTAAAAATATATGACCAAGTATAATGAAGATATGGCATTTCTTTAAATATCCAGCTACTGCAAAGGAGAGTTTAAGATGACCTCAGGAATGCTTTCCCAAAATGTAATGGGCTTTGCTCTTTTTCACTCCAGCTATTTTAGGCAGTCATTAAACAGTTGTTAGCAGTTTAGTAAGTTTATATAAAAGTGCATATTTTGAGGCTTTACATGCCACAGGAGAAGTTCCAATGTAAACAGAGGAAGACAGAATCAGTGCTTCAAACGGAAGCGCCCAGCACTATATTCTCATACCAGTTGAGGAAATGCTTACACATACAAGCCCATCAACACACATTGACCCACCCCAGCTATCAGAGAGGTTCTGGGATAATTGATCTCTCAGGGGGTATCAAGTGGGACCAATCAGGCGAGATCCCAGTTCTAGTTCTGGGTGGGTCAACGAGATTCACTTTGTGCTGGGGTTACAGATTGTGTCTCAGCTTTTGGTAAATGTCTCATAAATGCATTCCACTCATCAAGAGAGCGTGGATTATGAGCTCCTGGCTCTCGGCCAGAGAGATGCGCAGCAATGCTGGGATGCACGTGCCAAGAATGTTCTCTGTTCTTTAGACTGTTCAGACTGTCGGTGCCTGACCAGGCAGAGATGGCTCTTTGTCACTGTGATACCTGCATTCGTTGATAAGTGGTGGGGCTCACCCCTCAATCTGTGGACTGGTTCTGACACTGGTCCATTTCTCCTTGAGTTGTTGCAGAAGAAGAAAAAAAGCAGTAAAAGCTGTCGCTTTCTGTGTAATGTCTATGAACTTGCATTTGTCATCAGAGTCAACTCTTTGGTACAGAGCATACTCTTCTTTGTTTCATTAATTAAAATGCATCTGTAGTCTTCAAAACAAGCTTTTATCTGGATCTCTGTGATTCCTTTTTAAAATTCTTTATTTCTCTCTCTGTGAATCTCAGCAGCAATAGTAACCCTAGTGATGGCCAGCACTGAGCACTTACTATGTCCCCAGGCTCTGTTTTGCATGAGCTTTACACATATTAACTCATTTGATCCACAACGTATCCCTGCCAAAAGGAAGCTAATATTATTATTACTATTCTTATTTTACAGATGTGACACAGAGATTAAGTAAATTGCTTATAATTACATGGCTTGTAACTGTGGGGTTTGTACCCACTATGTGGCTTCAAAGTTGACTTTAACCGACACTACTAAGCTGTTTAACAATACAATGGCAGCACCACCACCAACAAAACTTTTTTTTTTTTTTTTTGAGACAGGGTCTTGCTCTGTTGCCCAGGCTGGAGTGCAGTGGCCTGATCATGGCTCATTGCAGCAGCCTGGTCATGGCTCATTGCAGCCTCCACCTCCTGGACTCAAGTGATCCTCTTACCTCAGCCTCCCGAGTAGCTGGGACTACAGGGGTGCTCCAGCATGCCTGGCTAAATTTTTGAATTTTTTGTAGAGAAGGGGCTTTGCCATGTTCCCCAGGCTAGTCTCGAAGTCCTGGACTCCAGTGATCTGTCCACCTCAACCTCCCGAAGTGATGGGATTACAGGTATGAGCCACTGCACTGGCCAAAGAAACATTTTTGACTGCTCCCTGTGTGCCAATCACTTACTGATGCAAGACTTAACTTTTATCACATCTATTCATTTCACTGGTGTCTAAAACAAACTCATCTTCCTTCCAAAGGGGGTTATCTTTTTCTTTAATGCCATCACTGTGACTGAAATGCCTTTTGTGTGTGTGAACCACTTTCTCCTAAAAGTAATTTAGGGAGACTTTAGAACAATTGTTTTCCAGGTAACTGGCCTTCAATTACTAGTCAATTTCCTTGTCTTCCTGGATTTTTCAGTGTCTTTTGATCCAGCCCATCCTGAGTTTTTCTTGCTATTGTTGAATTCAGGATGCCCTGTTGGGCTTCTTTCTCCTCTCCCCTCCTCTCCTCCCCTCTCCTCCCCCTCTTCTCTTCTCTCCTTTTCTCTTCTTCTCTCTGCCTCTCATTCTCTCTCTTCACTCCCCATAGGGAACCTCATTATGCCTCTTAGCCCCCTGGGCAGTGCTTCCCTATAATGATCATGACATTGGTTGATAGTTATCAGATACAGAGCTCTTTGATGGCAGGCCTGTGTTTCGTTCCTCGTCTTGTTCTTCTAGCACCTAGCATTTGGGCCTGGCCCACAGGGAACACTCAGTAAATGCTTCCTGAATGAGCAAATCCCTTCCTTCTCATCCTCTCTAGCTCTTGGCCTATAACCTACTCCAGACACTCATTATTATTTCATGCCTAAGTTATATCAGCTAGAATGTTTTTGCCTGCAAGGAACAGAAAATACAACTCAACCTGGCTTAAGCAATAAAGAATTTTATTGGCTGACAGAACTGAAAGTCCAGAGATAAAGCAGGCCCCAACACAGGCTTAATCCAAGCACCCCAGTGTGTTTCTTTGTGATTCTCCTGGCTCTGTCCTCCTTCAGCCAACAGTGTGATGGTTATAGGATTTCAGATCCTCATATTAGGCCACGATGACATCCAAAGTGCATCTTAAGAGGGCGCTTTTCCTGGAAGTTTCTAGGAAACCTCTCTTTGTATTTCATTGTTAGAATTGGGCCACATGCCGGTTCCTGAACCAATTCCCATAGTCAGAGCATTGCCATGTTCTGAGTAACTTACAGCTGGATTTGTGGACCAGACAAGTGACAGGGAGAATGGGATTCCTTTGAGCCAAAAAAACAGTCAGATCAACGTCTCCTGGGGCGTGAGGCCTCTTATGAAGGATGGGTGGACACCTGAAAGAAATGTGGAGTACTGCTGGAAATATATGAGCTTTGCATATATTAACATGTTATTTATATATTTTATAAATTATATATGAATATATATTAATGGTTAATATATAGTCAATTAATTGTATTATAATCAATATACTTAATTATAATTAACATTATATATTTTGTATATTATATATTAGTAACAATATAAATTTACATAATATACAGAAAATATACATAAATAATAAATGTTAATGTATGTAACATATTAACTTACATAATTAACATGTAATATATTCATATGACATATATGTAATATATTAATATATATTACATATCACACATATTACATGTATGTAATATATTAACATCACATATATTACATATAAGTAATATATTAACATATATTAACTCAAATGAATTAATATTTGAGTTAATATATGCAATAATATATGTTAATAGTATAATATATATTTAAAGCTCATATGTTCCCAACAGTACCCCATATTTCATATAGTAGTTGATATATGTAAAGCTCATACCGGGGGCACCTGGGGGTATATGTAAATCTCATAGGAAGATTCTTGGGGCTAGTAGCCATCAATCTTCACCACGCTGCACTCTGCAAAGCTTCCTAGTTGGTGCTACTTTTTTGGGCATGCCTTGTTCTGTTCCTTTCCATGGTGTGTCACTGGAGTCATTGCTCTGAAGCATGACATTTATGATATGACATTGATGAAAAATGTTAAATGACTCCCCATTGTCTACTGGAAAATAGCCTGACATTCAGACCTCTGTTCAAGCAATCCCATTTTGTTCTTGCAGATTCATCTTCCAACCCTCTTGGAAAGTAAAGCTGGGTTTTGGCCAAATTGGTTTTCTACTCATGCTCTGATAATGTATGCCCACACTTTTACTTCCACGCTTTCATTTCCTCCACCCAGCATGACTGCTTTCCTTCCCTGTATGTGTCAAAGTTCTAAGCTTGCTTTCAAGATCCACCTTCCATTCTCCCTGACGCATTGCATGACCACTCTAGTTTGAATCAATTTACTTCTATTCCAAATATAAATGTAAATATTCCGAATGTTAAAATTCACTCATTAATATAGCATGGCATTCAACTTAGATTGTTTTGCAATGTTGGATAATGTCTCATTTAAATTTATCTTTTTTTCAGTCTCCCTAGAAGTAAAATTAGATGCATTCGTGATTCTCCTAATGCCTGAGTTAGCACCTTGCAACTCATAGGTGCTAATAAGTATGTTGATATGTGTCCGCTGAGAAAAGTACTAGCAAAAAAGCATGATAGGCACATTGAAACTGTGAAGGTACCATCCAGCTCTTTGAAAATTAGTCTAAAGTAAATAATTAGTACAAACATTTACTGAGAAACTACTATGCACAGGCATGGTTCAAGGTTCTAGAAATTGCAACAAAGAATATACCAAGTCCCTTCCATCAGTGAGCTTATATTTCTAGTGGAGAGACATACAATAAACAAATTAATATTTAATAAAATGTCATGTAATGCCAACTTCTAGGAAGAAAAGCAGAGAAGGGTGAGAGGACATTGGGCTGATATTTTGAAGGTAGGGTGACCAGAGAAGGCTTCTGAGCAAAGTTCTGAGTAAACCTCCCCGAGATGACATGGGGCAGATGGAACCCCATGAGAAAAAGCCCTGGAGAGAAGTCTTGCTTAGTAGGCTTGAGAGAGAGCCAGAAGGCTAGCATGGTTGGAGTGCACTGATGGAGAAGGAGTAATAGGAGACAGGATTGTCAAGGGATAAGGGTTTGGATAATGTCAGATCTTATAAGGTATACCAGATGTTCAGTTTAATTCTAAGTGAAATGAATGCCTTTGATGGACTTTGATTAGGGTAATCATCTGACGTGATATATACTGTAAGATAATTACTTTGTCTTCTGTATGGAGAAGAGATTTTGAGGGAGCAAGACTGGAAGGAGGAAAACCAGAGAAGAAGCTATTACAGTACTAATAGTTCAGGCGAAGTGTGATGGTAGCTTGGTCTAGAACATTGGTGGAGAATTGGGAAGAAGCGGTTGGGATCTGTATACATTTTAAGGTAGAAGCAACCTGTAGAGTTTGCAATGCATTGTATATGAAACTGTGTGTGTGTGTGTGTGTGTGTGTGTGTGTGTGTGTGTGTGTCTGTATTGTTGTAAACAAAGATGAGCAAAAAAGAATCAAGTAAGATAATAGTGGCTTCTCAAATCAAACACTTCATTTAGTTTTTGTTTTTAAAAATCAAACAGACATCCTTGAACAGTGGACATTTTAAAACATTGTTCCTAAAAATTACTAAAAAGTTCCAACATTGTTTAAAAATACTAAATACGTGACAACAATTGAAAAGCACTTAGGGTGATCATTTGCATTTGTGCCATTAATTTAGACATCTTTTTGTAGGTATTACATTAATTATACTCAAAAAAAAAGTTTTTTTGTGTTGAAGATCTTCATTATTGCAATTGTGAAAGAATTGAGGATATTTTGACTTCTGTAATCCATATATTGTACTAATTTAAAACTCATTCTGCTTGGTGTAATCTTTGGTATATCTTATGACTTACATGAATTGGAATATGGCTCCTTTCCATTCATGAAAGGAAGGGGAAATCTGATTGAATTAGTGCATAAGAATGAGCATAAATATAAATAATAAATTTTTTATAAAAGTAAATATTTTAAAATAATAAAATTTAAAACTTCCAGTAAAAATGATCCATTGTGTTCATTACTATTAGGTATGTTTTCTGTACAATTGCATTGTTTATTATTTTATCTGCTTAGAGGAATTAGTCTACCTTTTTCCCCGCGGTAGAAGTACTGCTTAAAAAATTGATGCATTTAGTCTTCTTATACCAGATTTTTCTAAGAAACTTGTAACTTCATCAAATTTATTCACTTTTACAATAATTTTATAGTTGCCAAGTAGCAGTCACTTGCCCCCATTTCTTAAGTAAGAAAAATTTAAGAGATAGGGAAATGAGTAATTGCCATTTAGAAGTTGTTTTCTAATGCCCACATATCTGAAGGAAGCTCCATCTGGAATGCCTTAGCTTCTAGAAACAGATCTTTGCACTACATTTATTTTTTGTGTTGAAATTTACCTCCATGACATCTATACCAACTCTGTGCAGTAAGAATTTGGTTTCAATAGTATAATAGGGCTAACGTTCACTGGCTTCCATTTTATGGCCAAATTAATTCTATTGGGTGATCATTTTAATGCCCCTCTAGGAGAGTTATATGTTTGTGTATTTCTTAATAACTTACTACTGGGAACATTTTATCTATGCATTACTATTTTATTCATTCAATGGACGTATAGTGAGCACTATCATTTTCTAGCCACTGTGGTTGGTTGTTCATTAGAATTTTCAAAACAGTAGTCCTGATCGATTTCTCACATACCTGCCTTATAATAGGGTCCAGTATCTTTTTTTTTTTTTTTTTGAGACATAGTCTCACTCTGTCAGCCAGGCTGGAGTACAGCGGCATGATCTTGACTCACTGCAACCTCCGTCTCCTGGGCTCAAGCAGTTCTCCTGCCTCAGCCTCCCAAGTAGCTGGGATTACAGGCATGCGCCACCAGGTCCAGCTAATTTTTGTATTTTTAGTAGAGATGGGGTTTCACCATGTTGGACAAGCTGGTCTTGAACTCCTGACCTCATGTGATCCTCCCACCTTGGCCTCCTAAAGTGGTGGGATTGCAGGCATGGGCCAGTATCATTTCTATGTGTTGTTTTTAATTGACACATAATAATTTTACATATTTATAAGGTACATAGTGATGTTTCAATACATAAAATATAGAAATGATCAGATTAGGGCGATAGCATATCCGTTTTCTTGAACACTAATTTCTTGAACAGAATATTCAATATCTCCTCTTCACAGCTATTTTAAAATGTATAACATATTATTACTAATTGTAACCATCCTGCAGTCTTCTGGAACACCAGAATGTATTCCTCTCATCTAGCTGTAATTTTGTGTCCTTTAACAAATCTCTCCCTGACATTTTTAAAATGTCTTATACAATTTGAGAGCCAAATGCTACAGAACAGGTGGAATTTCAGTGATCCCTGTTCTCTACCTTCTCATCTGCTTTAATTCTCATAATTTCTTCAACAAGTGACAAAATCTTTCATTATGTAGCCAGGAAGAAAATGAGTAAGATTCTAATTTTTATGAAAGTGCCCTTTCACCAACATTTTACCAGCTCTGTGTTAATAGACAGTTCCCTATTTTGGTGGTAGTTTGATTAGAGAGGGAAGAGTACATGCTTTGGACCCTTAAAATGGAATTGACTTTCTCTGGTGAAGGAAGTCAGTGAAAAAGTTGGCTGACAACACACAAAAAGAGGTGAATTTGGAAGCCATCACAGTATTGCTGGAGATAACCCTATTGACTTTCCCTTGGGTGGTGTCAAGCAGAACTGTGAAGGTTATCTTATGTGATTTGGATGATGAGGATCCTCGGTTACACAGATCGAATTTCTAGTTTCTTCTCTGGCTATGATTGAGTACATATACTGATCTTCTCTGGGCCTTGGTTTCTCTAACTCTCAAATGAGCCACCATATATTATAGGGACCAAACCATGGGATTTTGGGGTCAAAAATATCCTCGGTGTAAGTATCAGCTCATCTGTTTACTTCAAGTTTTTTTTTAACTCCTTTAAAAACTTCACATTCTCATCTGTAAAGCAAGGATAATAATACACAATCTATAAGGGCTTAAGCAAATTAGAGATGATATAGTTTAAGGATTTAGTATAGTTCCTGGAACAGAGTAATTTCTCAGTCATTGGCCGCCCAATGGCATGAATTGAAAAGGTTGAGCCAGTGTCTATAGTTCCAGAACCATTCTCAGGTTCTATTTTGGAATGTTTATCTCTTCTGTGTTGTGGCTGTGGAGTAAGATCCATCTGGAATGTAGTAACGTCAAGAAATAGCAAGTTCTTTGCCTTTCTGTCTTTGTTTCAGGAAGCACATACTTTGTAATCTGTGACATTTTTATGCTGAAATTCCCTTTCTTGACATACAGACTGACACTGTATAATTCAGTCAGTTTCCTATTATCTCTGTTGTTAAGCAAGACTGGATTTTCATCACTGGGAAAGCTGTTAACAGAGTCCCCATTAAGCGAGCCATCACTGAACATTTTCCTTGATTGATGCTTTAAGATTCTGTCACTCACTCTTTGAAAATATCAGACTACAGGGTCTGAAGCAGGTTTCTGCAATATTCTGCAGTACCTCATGGGTACAAAAGAGACACAGGAATATGCCACAGCATCTAGATCCAATTCTTAGTGAAAATTTTGTTCTTTCATCTGTATTCTGGTCAGCCAGCTTGAAGTAGACACAGGCAGATGCTTGGAGAGTCGAAATTATAGCCGAATGATATCACAGAGTAGTTAAATACCAGCCAAGCTGTGGTTGCAGCATGGCAACTTTACAAGCCGGGCAGGTTAGCATGGATGCTGTGAAAAGTGACCCCTCTATCTGAAAAAGGGTTTTGTACCTTGGCTGGCATTAGTCACTTTTCCTTGTTTGATATTTACAGCTTTCTCTTGTCCTTTGTATCCTTTGGGTAACACACCGTGAGTGAGAGCAGAAAAGCTTTCCTTATAAAGGTAGCAATTTTATTCAAGATTAAAATGCTCTATTTTTCCACATTACATCAATGAGTACCTTCAAAAAAAGATGACTTAATGAGGGGGAAACATGAATAAATAAACACCCACACGTACATACATATGTATGTGTGTATATACATAGAGAAACATAACGGGGCGAGTGATCGTTGATTATTTTAGCGGAGGCTGTAGAGGGAACAACACAATTACATATATGGTAATGAAGAATGAACAAGTAATTGTGTTGTAATTTCCCTCTGCTTTTTGCTAGTGGTGACTGTTATGAAAAGCAGGTTGTTGGAATAAAAAAAAAGATACTAAATAAAGAACCGTAGTTCTTATAATAGCATTTTATAGTCTGTCTTTTGAAATATACTAAAATTTTTCACAATCCATGTTTCTCTGCTTTTGCCAATTGTGTTTGTGATTGTTCATTTGTGCATAGAAGTTTCAGTAGGAAAATACAGTCGTTTTTGTAAAGGTTGGATTTATAAGCTTCAATAAAAACAGGCTCATTCAAACAAAAAAGCAATCAGATTGCAAAATGGCAAATAAAAGAGGAAGCTTATCCTTATAGGAGAAAAAACGTTTAATTTTAACATTATGTTTAAATAGACAAAGAGACCTACTGCAGACTTTTAAAGTGTTCATTTTGCTTCCGTTGCTGCAGTTCAGCTTACAGATGGTCCCTACGATAGTTGCTATAGAAACCAAACCTTTTTCATCAATCTCTCCCTGTTGCTATGGTGTGTTTGCAGCCACTGCATGTAAACTTTTGTATAAAGTGTCATTTATGCTTTTCATGACTGACCTTATAATGAAACATATTGATTATACATTAACCAACAAAGTCTAGCATGAAATGACACATCACCACTAAACACCCGTTACT
The DNA here is from genome assembly GCF_000001405.40 of Homo sapiens. Lineage (NCBI taxonomy): Eukaryota > Metazoa > Chordata > Mammalia > Primates > Hominidae > Homo > Homo sapiens. The sequence goes on from NC_000010.11 coordinate 18,204,374, forward strand.
AAGTAGAATAGGTGGACCTAACATTATTTGTAGATGTGAATTGTGCCTTTGTTAACCAGGCTATTTGAAATATCAGTGGGATAAGGAAATCTTGCTCTAATTGACAAAAGCAGAATCTTTTATTTTCTTTCTTGAAAGTGATAGTTTTTCTTTTAAAATTTAGTTTCTTCAAAGTTAAACCTGTCATAGGATTCAAATTTCCTGCTTTGTAATTTTTGCTCTGACATTTTATGTGTGGCCTTAGGCCACAAAATCATTTAACCTCTGGATTTAGTGAGATAACAAAACTATGGCATGATAGATTTGGATGTGTTAAGCTCTGCGAGGGCAAGTACACTACCTGTTTTGTTTACCGTTATACATTCAGAACTTGGTGATATCCAGACAAACAGCCTAGAATACAGTAAACATTCAAAAGTACTTGTTGAGTAAATGAATATACATGTTATTGCTTCTGATCACATATGCATTCCATACTGTACTTTCTGTATAGAGTCAATTTCAAGAGTAGGCTTCATTTCATTTTAATGCCACAAATATTTAATGAGTTCCTACTAGTGGTAAAATGCTTCACTTCTTGCTGGATTCCTTAAACTTTACCAGAAAAAAAAAAAAAAAAAGGTCTGGCTTTCATGCCCAAGACTCTATATTCCAAACTCTCTAATGTTTATACATTTGTAGATGTCAAGTGTTTTTTGTTTTTGAGGGTTTTTAAAAAAAAATTCTTAAGATCTGTATCATTGAATAGAAATTTCCTGGACTTTCCTTTCAACATATGTTATTAACATGACAGTTATCTGTCCAGTGGTTAGAAGCATGGTCCTTTGAATCAGAAAGACTTGAGCATTAACTTACTACCTCTGCACTATTGGGAAGGTTACATCCCTTTGCTAGCCTCAGTTTTCTCATCCGTATAATGGGGACACTAATACCTAACTCATATAGTTATTGTGAGAATTGAATGGGATTTATAAAGTACTAAGCGCAGCAATTAGCCCAGCGAGCACTCGTAAATGGTAGCTGTTATTGTTGTCTATATATGCATAGAGGATGCGCATGACTAGTTTGTTGAACAGTCAAAAATCTGTGAATTTTACTATTTTTATTTCCATTCAATGCCTCTAACTGTGTGCCATGACAGCTCTTTCTTTTCCACTGGGTGAGCACATTTTCTTAATATTTGGTGTATTGTTTAATGTACCAGTCATTTTGGATTTAAACAACAAAATTCTATGCAGCTTAAAATTCCATTCACAAATATGAATGAAATCTGATCTCCATGACCTCCAAACCACACTTCTGAGTCTTAGAATTGGATGGGGTCCTTGGCCTGATCTTCAATTCTTTCTTCTATTCCAGCTTACTGGAGTGGAGAGAAGAGGGTAGTGTTTCAATGTTCCCTGCTCCTCATCAAAACCTAACTCCTCCAGTGATTTAGATCAGAAGTCAAGGAGGCAAAGAGTTTCTACAACCCATCAGAGACAGGAAGGCATCTTTGTTCTTGCTCCAATTTGCAAGGGTTCCATCTGTTGATGCTTACCTCTGTGGGGTGGGTCCAGGGAGAGAGAATCTACGGTTTTCAGTCTCCCCAGGCCCTCTCCATCTATGAGAATTTTTTTGTTTGTTTGTTTTGAGATGGAGTCTTGCTCTGTCACCCAGGGTAGAGTGCAGTGGTGCAATCTTGGCTCACTGCAATCTCCACCTCTCGGGTTCAAGTGATTCTCATGCCTCAGCCTCCCAAGTAGCTGGAACTACAGGCATGCACCACCATGGCTGCCCAGTTAATTTTTGCATTTTTAGTAGAGACAAGGTTTCGCTATGTTGGCCAGGCTTGTCTCAAACTCCTGACCTCAGGTGATTCACCCGCCTCAGCTTCCCAAAGTGCTGGGGACTACAGGCGTGAGCCACTGCGCATGGCCATCATCCATGAGGATTCTTAGAGACACATAGCTGTATCTCCTTTGTCTCCTGAAGGCAGTCCTCTTCCCTGACTTCCTCTCTCCAGATGGGGCATCCACTGCTCGGGCTATTGCCTGGGCATCCCTACTATGTCCACCTCATCCTCCCACCTGTGTATTGTGTCACATGGAGCCACAGAAACAGCAGCATTGTGCAGTCACTTCTTTCTCTCCCATTCCCCTCATGCTGTGCATGTTCCTTCTTTTCCCCGATGGGACCAACTGCTCCAGCCAGCCACTCTCTGGCTTTCAGACATGTCTAAGGAAATGTAGGAGCAAGACGCAGGCTGCGTCCATGTACTTCCCTCAAATTCCAGAAAGGGGCACATGCAGATTCTCACATGAACGTCCCAGTGTGCTCCAGTCCTCTCCAAAAAGCATGCTGGGGGGCGCAGTAGTGGTGCCTTCTGCACTGCAGCTTAGCAAGCAAAGTGGGGAGGGTAATGCCGGGCTCCATTTTTCGCTGGAAGGTGAAGTAAGACATGCCAGTGTAAGCATTAAGCCAACCAAAGTTTTAAGTCCACTGTTGGGGAGGGATTGGTGCAGTAGTTCCCAATTATCCATGGTTTTCTTTCAAGATTTCAGTTAATCGAGGTCAACTTGAGTACAGTACAATAAAATATTTTGAGGGAGAGACGACATTCACATAACATTTATTACAGTATATTGTTATAATTCTTCTATTTATTTATTTAGAGACAGAGTCTCACTCTGTCACCCAGGCTGGAGTGCTGTGGCATGATCTCAGCTCACTGCAACCTCTACCTCCCGGGTTCAAGTGATTCTCCTGCCTCAGCCTCCCTAGTAGCTCAGACTACAGGCGTGAGCCACCACACCTGACTAATTTTTGTAGTTTTGGTAGAGACAGGGTTTCACCATGTTGGCCAAGCTGGTCTTGAACTCTTGACCTCAGGTGATCCGCCTACCTCTGCCTCCCAAAATGCTGGGATTACAGGCATGACCTCCCAAAATGCTGGGATTACAGGCATGAGCCACTGCACCCAGCCAATAATTGTTCTATTTTATTTTTAGCTATTGTTAATCTCTTACTGTGTCTGACTTAGAAATTAAACTGTATCATAGGTGTGTATGTATAGGAAGAAACAGTATATCAGAACTATCCATGGTTTCAGGCATCCACCAGAGGTCTTGGAAGGCATCCCTCATGGATAAGGTGGGGTGGGGGAGAAACTATATATCTTAGTTAATAAGCATTACTAGAATGTTACAAAATATATTGAAGTTTGTAACATATAGAAATCATGTGTCACTTAAATCTGTAATGTAAACACCTGCAGTACTGCAAAGCTTAGAAAATTGCACACATTCATTTACCTTTTGACTAATTTTTGTTCTTTCTTTTCAAATATATTTAACATGTACATGGGCATGATGTATTATGTTGCATGTTGCATATCACATAGCAAAACTTTAGCTTCATTTGTTACTTAAGAACCATTATTATTAAAAGCATCATATTGTATACTATATATATAGTTTCTATTTGTCAATTTAAAAAATAGTTTACAAATAAGTAAAAAGAATCATCGTTATGAAAAAGGAGTTATCATTGTACCAGCAAAAAGGAGAGTGAATTAACAGTTTTGATGTAGAATTCTGCATAGTAGAAGTTGACATATGTATGCTTTGTATGTGCTGCTTTTAAAAAATCTCAAGTTTCTATTTAAACCCTGAATTTTAGAAACCTACGAATATTAGTTGCATCTTTCTTGTCAGAGGAACTATAAAAACACTTTAACACAAATGCTAAACCCTAAAACCCAAACAGGTAAATGAGCCCATGGACTGATAAGCCTTTAGCCATTTAGAAGGAGCTTCAAAAAGGCTGTTTTAGCTGGACACAGTGGCTCATGCCTGTAACCTCAGCACTTTGGGAGGCTGAGGCTGGAGGATGACTTGAGCTCAGGAGTTCAAGATCAGCCTGGGCAACACAGTGAGACCCTATCTGTACACACACAAAAAACTTTTTTTTAATTAGTGGAATGTAGTGATATGTGGCTGTTGTCCCAGCTACACTTGGCATGCTAAGGTGGAAGGATCGCTTGAGCCTGGGAGTTCGAGACCAGACTGGGCAACATAGTGAGACCCCATCTATACAAAAACTAAAAAATTAGTGGGGTGTGGTGGTGCACACCTGTGGTCCCAGCTACTTGGCAAGCTGAGGTGGGAGGATTGCTTGAGCCCAGGAGTTGGAGGCTGCAGTGAGCCATGATCGTGCCACTGCACTCTAGCCTGTGCAACAGAGTGAGACCCTGTCTCAAAAAAATAAAATAAAATAAAAAGATTGTTTTAAAATGAATCTGACGTTATTCCTCATTCCTTATTGCTTGTTCACCTTATTTGTTAAATTTTCAGACTGGAGCCCAGCCTGAAAAAGGACTGAAGTCCTTTTCTGTAGTCATCTCAGCTACTGGAAAGGCAACTCTTAAGCACACTGTTTTAGAGAAGGGCTGAGCGGTAGAAGATACGACGTTTAGAGAGAGAAAGCCCCTGAACACGTATTAATTCTAAAGAATTCTAAGGAACTGATGCGTATACATCCACATATGAACCCAGGGCGATGTTGAGTTCTTCTGGTGGGATTCTCTGGAGCACATCATCGTTGGCATTTGATGACTGTAAAATCGCTGGAAGTTGAATGTGCACATTTAAATAGAAACTAAATGATGCAATGCAAAACTAATATAATCTTTTCCAGATTAGCTGCCATTCCACATTACCTGCAGAACTGCTTCCTTCCTCTTTTGTAGGTAATGGGCTTGACTGCATGTGAAACATAATGTAAATGTTATGTCTTATTAATGCATCCAGGAAATCTGCCTTAAAAATTACTTTTTATCACAGAAAAATGTGGCTTAATTTTTTTTAATCATATGCCTTAGGCAAACAATGGTTTGACGGCAACATCACCTGCATGGAGCACTGAGTTTATTATTTTTATTTTTTTGATAGATGGATATGTTTCTCCAGGGGCTTTCTGCTTTAAGTTACAAATGGTTATTAAATTTTCAAGAAAGGTATTCTCTTAACTCTCAAAGTCTGTCTATTTTTAGACTTTTGCAGCAGGAAATAGAAGTAAGGATGTGCTTTTCCAGATGTTTCCAGCTTGCTTTTTCGTCAGCTGTGTGGTTCTACAACTTGATACTTATATTTGGAATAATTCTGAGCTGTATTACACAGGCAATGAAGGGGTCTGTTTGAAAATTTGTAAACAGGTTATTTTTTCACTTATAATTAAATATGTGTTGCTGGTTTGGGAAGAATTGACTATATTAGCTATTGATTTTTTTTTATATGTAGCATACCCAAACTTGATGTTTTGAACATTTTCATGTTTTAAGTAGTGCCGACAAATTTGCTTTTAGGGCACCATAATATGGTCTTTTTTGACTTTAGAAATTAGTATTTCTAAAATTATTGATTGTCTTGAGTCATTTACATGTTGAATATTTCTCTGGACAGGTTTAATAGGACAAACCAAACGTAGTCCAAAAAATAAAATTCTTTCAAGACCTATATATTTTCGTAAAGATAAAATACTAGTTCAGATAGTTTGTCATTGACAAACTACCAAAAGCTCCTTGGTGGATGTCTAGATTTTGAAATGGATAGGAGAAAGAAAAGGATGTATTTCTGAATACTACTGGGCCCTTAAGACTAATTTTTCAGAGAATCTTTGCTAAGGTTGAGAAGAGGTCTCCTTTTGAGTTACAGGAGGAGGGAATGTCATATCCCCGTTTGAAAGTGAACAGCTCTTCCTAGCCATGCCACATTTCCAGTGGTTCCACTTGGGAGCGTGGCAGGACAGAGTTGATACCTGCCAGGTGAGTAATGAGGCTTTTAGATTGCATGAAAATACATTCGTGGTGGTGGCTATAGTCAATCTTAAGCCAATCTAAGTGTGTGGAAGAGAAAACGCAGCTCCAGAATGGAGAGAAATGTATATACATGCAGGTACACGTGTGTGTAGGTATACATATAACAATTTTAGAGTAGTTATAAATGGTATGATAATTCATTGAGATTAGAAACTGCATACCACTCTTTATATAACTGTCTTTGAACAAAGGTGAAGAATGGTTTTTTTTCCCATAGGCCTTAGAAGCTGGTGGGGGTTGGGGTGTGGTATGAATCTGTAGAGGCGATAAATAGAATGTCGTAGTTAAGAACCCAGGGATTAGGGAGAAGACCTGGTTGGATTGCTGGTTCTGCCACTCTCCACCTGTATAACGCTGAGTTATATTTATTTGTCTTTCTAAGTCTCAGTTTCCTTATCTGAAAATTGGTTACAATAAAGGACTCTACCTCCTAGATTTATTGTTAGCATCAAATATAGTAACATTAATGTGTCTTTAATTATTACAGACCCCAAATCTGTAAGTAACTCAAGGAATGTTTCCTCTCAACCTGTCTCATCATTGAGATCAAGGAACTTAAATGCTTTTAAGTAAATGTAAAATATGTATAATATATTGCATGCACATTATGGAAAGTGGAGTGGTAGTTGATAAGCGTATGGCTTTTGGACTCAGAATATGAGTACAGGGATTATGCATTTACCATTTCTTATCTGCATGCCTTCAGACAAGTTTCTCAGCCTTTGTAAATTCCTGCTTCCTCGTGTATACATGGACACCATTGGAGTAGCTACTTTGTAGAATTGCTGTGAAGATTAAATGAGAGCATCTGAAGCACTGAGCATGAAGCTTTGCTCATGGGAAGACCTCCATGACTATTAGCTATTATTTTTGCTGTTGATGTTGTAAACAGACTTGGAGGCGGAGGGCTATGCAGTAAGTTGATTTGAAGGAGAGCAGTAGAGGGTGAGAGAAACAGAGGGGTAGAGAAAGAGGAAGATGGAAAAGAGAAAGCCGGGTACTCAGTAAGTAGGTTTTGAAGTGCAGGGTCACCGTGTTTGTGACACTAGGCTTGGACATTGCCATTGTCTAGGAAACTAGTCTTTGAAATGCATAATTCCCCATTCTTTATTTAATCATTTATGAGTAAGTAGCTTGACTGGTTCTATTTTTAAATATTTATCATTCAACTTTTAAGATATACAAAAAGGCTCAAAGAATAATAAAGTAAAGCATTACATACCTATCACCCAGCTTCATGAGCTGGGTTTGTTTTTATTGCCAATAGAGTTGCTTCCCTTTGTGTAGCACTCTTTCCTACTTGCAGACTACCTTAAATTTCTTAAACCAGTTCTGTGAGTTTTAAAATATTTTTATTATACACGTGTATCTCTTTAAGCAATGTATAGTACTGAGTATTCTTAGATGTTTTCCTGTAAGATGTATTTACAGGGTTCAGATTTATATAAATAGCGGAATACTGTAGTGTGCTGCTCACACCTCTCTTGCTGCTAAACCTGATGGTTGTAATTTATCAGTAATGTTACACATGGAGCAGTTCATTCATTTTCATGCAGTAGAGTATTCCGTGGCGTGAATGCGACACAATTCACTTATCACATTTTCTGCTGACAGATATTTATTTACGTGGTTTCTTTTTTTTTTTCTCCCCATTACCAACAATGACATTATAAATATGCAGGTGCATTAGTTCTGGTACAAACGTGCAGACGTTTCTCTAGGGCAGTGCTTTCTCAATCTTTTCTGAATTATGACATATGTAGAAAATAATATTTTCAGGGTGTTCACAGCTGTATCAACAGGCCCAAATCCTCCAGGCCTCAGGTGTTTGTACAGCTGAATAGATTGATATCTCAGGCACACCTACAACTCAGTCAATCAGTGGGGAAGTTCTGCTTAAGGCCGACCTTGGAGTGGAATGGCTTAGTTGTACGGTGTGCATATTTTTACCTTTACTCAATATTGCACTTCTCCAAAATCATGGTGCCATTTTTACATCTCAACCAGCAGCATCTGAGTTCTCATTCCCCCACATTTTATGAACTCTTGGAAATATTTTACTTTCACCATTTTGTCAGTCTGATCCTCTTCTGCTTTTATACCTTGACTTGATACCTTTTGCCATATATTGTGTTTTTTTGCTTTTTATATTGATTTGTAGAAGATATTTTTATATACTTACTGTAATCCTTTGTCAGTTTTATGTGTTGCAAATATCTACCCCCAGTCTATGAGTTGGTTTTCCACTGCATTTTCATGAATATGAGTACCAAGTTGTGATGTTGTCAACTTGAACCATTTTTTCCTTTGTTTTCCATTTCTCATCTTGTAAGAAATATTCTTTTATATTTACTGCTAATATTTTTTTAAATGTTTGCTTATTTTTGTTTGTAATATGAAGGAGGAATCTAATTTTAAGTTTTCTATTTGGATAAGGAATTATTCCAGGGTCGTTTATAAAATGTTTTTTACCCCACCACAGATCTGCAAGTGCAACCCTGTCATATATGGAACAGCTATTTGTTAAGTTTATTTATCAGAATTAAACATAAATCAGAATAAATAAAAACGTAAAACCTGGAATCCCCCCTTCTGCCCATAAAACAATTACAAATCACCAGATTAAAAGAAGACTTGGGTTCTGAGCCAAACTGGAAGTGAGAGCCCTGGCAATAGTTAATTATGATATATGACCTCGGATCAAATGTGTTAGACTTTTTGCCTTTGAGCACTGGTTTAAGTTTCTCTGCCTTGTGGGTTTGTGAGGAAGCACATAAAGGATGTAAGGGAATAGAGGATCCCATCTCTACAGATAATCATCTGGCCTCATGCAACCAGCATGCCACTTGTTGGAGAAGTGTGTTCAAAACTCATTTCTGGTTCGTGCACCTGTGGCCCTTGGCGGCAGGTCCTGTAACACACAGCCTGACCACTGATACAGAGGAGGCCCCTGGGACTGCTTTCCTTATAAGGGTCCTGCGCCTTGGTAGAATTTAGATTTGGAGTTGCAGAGACTCAACTCAGGAAAGCAAGTCTTTAACCTCTTTGACCTTGGTTTTCTCACGTGTTAAGCTCAGGACGTGGAACCGGTGATTTCTCATGCCTTTGATTTTTAAGAGTATGTGGAATAGAATTGTGCATAACTGTGAATCACAGTCACTGTAGAACCACAGGGCTGGCTGGTAGCTTTCGGAATCTGTTAGTGGCTTTCTCTTTGCTCTTTGAAAGATTGGTGCTGTTCCATTTCATGATGCCAGAAAGTCATGTTGGGAATTGGTGTTAATTTTTCTGGGCTCAAAAAATCCTGTTTCTTGACTATTTTTCCTACTTCTTTCCATAATGTGAGCTATTCTGCAAACCAAAGCACTTTAGTAAAACTCTCTACTACTAGAAATGTGTTTAACATTATTGGTGTGTTTTCAACAATACACATCAAACTTTGAGAGCCACTCTTGTGAGTGAAATTGCTGTGGAGTATGGAGTGAGAAGTTATTCTTTGATCTATTTTAGGCTACTTGCAAAGAAATATAATAGAATGGCTAGAAGAGCCATCTCTGGAGTCAGGACAGAGTATCTGTGGCCAAGAATTAGCAGGATGACCCTGTAGAAGTTATTCACATAACTGAATTTTTAATGAGATAATGCATGTAAACTACTAAGTTTTAGATGGTATAGTATCTGATCAGTATACGGTAGCTACTTATTATTTGAATATGTTCTCTAATTCCTGATTGATTTGTATTTATTAAAGATTATTCTACAGATTCAACTTGTGCTGATGTCTTTCCACTGGCTACAGAAGATTCCCAGTTTACTTCACGTATCTGAAAAAAAGAATTTCTTATTTAAATTTACCCCTACACAACTGGAGGCAGGGGGGCAGTGTGTGGGAAAGGTGAATTTTTATAGAAGTATAAGTTCTTCTGAAAGGGACCCAAGCTAAAGTTTCCACGACAGGGTTTCAAATTCATTTTTTAAAACGGGGGCAGCACATCCCGGTTCTGATTTGGAAACAAGCATTGCTGCCTGGAATGGATTAAAAACAGAAGATCTCTACTTCTGCATCCATTTGTACCTTACACAGGGATGCTTTTAAAAATATTTAACAACTGTGACTGGGTGCAGTGGCTCACGCCTGTAATCGCAGCACTTTGAGAGGCCGAGGCAGGAGTATCACTTGAGGTCAGAAGTTCGAGACCAGCCTGGCCAACATGGTGGAACCCCATCTTTACCAAAAATATAAAAAATTAGCCGAGTGTGGTGGCATGTGCCTGTAATCCCAGCTACTCAGGTGGCTGAGGCAGGAGAATCGCTTGAACCCAGGAGGCAGAGCTTGCAGTGAGCCGAGATAGCACCACTGCATTACAGCCTGGGCAATGGAGTGAGACTCCATCTCAAAAAAAAAAAAAAAAAAAAAAAAAAAAATTAACAACTGTATGGCGTGGCAACAGCTGGTCGGGGAGGTTGCCTACCATTGCCCTGTTGGAACAGATTTGTAACTCCTTTAATTGTAGGATCCTGGTGAGAGTTTGGGGCCGTTGATGTAATAGGACACATTTGGGGGCTTGTAGCAGTGGCTGTTTGTGAATTAGCAGGGAAGCATTTTGGTGTGGCAACAACTGGGATGGCTGTGCCTGTGTGTACTGGCTGAATGTCCCTGTGTCATGTCCACGCCAGGGATTTTTTGCCCAGTTTGTCATAGAAGGAAGGTAGAATGTAATGCTTATGCTCACGATAAGAGTAATACGAATTATTTACATGGATTTAGTTTTTTAGAAAATTATTGGCTAAAAATCATTGGGTCTTATTGGTTGTAAAGTGCTGAACCCACTGTGCAAAAATCAAGACACTTAGAATACAAGAAATACTGAGACTTTTTCCCTTCACGGAGATTCCCAGTATGGTATTCATGGGGGCAGTGACATCTAGCGTTCCCTCCCAAGATAGCAGGCACTCTGAATGAAGACAGTGTGTTTATTTCACAAGTAGCCTACAAACTCAGTTATTTCATCCAGGGCCTGAATTTTACCATTTTTGAAAGTACGTCACATTCATCTAAGTGAGGGGGCCTGGTTTGTTCCAAATTTTCATGACCATCGGAGCGGGTCTGACGGTGAGACCAGACATTTTGCTTGTATTTCTGGTTCAGCTCCAGCTAGGGCTGAACTCAGGGGGCCCCCTGGAAATGGGGCATTTCTGGGACCAATCTGAGGATTTGCAAAGAATTTTAAGTAAGCACAAAACTTTTGATTAAAAAGGAGGGCACAAACTGAAGCCCAGCCTTTGTTTCTAACACACTTTGACAAAATGGTCATTTTGAATTAGATATGATTAGAAACCTCTTAAGAAATAAAAATGAAAACTCGCCAAACTCTTTTATGGCTATGCATGTTCTGTCCTTTGCTGCTCTGTGTCAGATAATTTTTCTTATACTTGGGATGTCCTGAATATGTATTTTATTTGTGCTTTTTGATGAGCACAGCACTAAGGAAATAAGCGAGGTGAAGAATTTAAGAAAGCAGACGGATCTTTTTAGGAGGCTATAAATTTTCCGCGTCCCTCCACTGCCCACTCCCAAGGCCATGTTGATGTTTAAGAGAAGCCTGTGGTCTGGTTTTTCAGTCTCGTGTTGGTGCCAAGTCAGTGCTTTCATTGTTTCTTACTGAGATCGGGTCTAGATGCTCTGTGAACAATTGTGCTTATGGTTATGTAGACTTTTAGAATCCTTGGTGATTGTCATTCTATAATTCTCTCCTGTTATTTTAATTTAAAGTAAGTCTTGAGGCCAGGTGTGGTGGCTCATGCCTGTAATCCCAGCACTTTGAGAGGCCGAGGCGGGTGGATCACCTAAGGTCAGGAGTTTGAGACCAGCCTGACCAACATGGTGAAACCCCGTCTCAACTAAAAAAAAAAAAAAATAGCCAAATGTGTTGGTGCATACCTGTAATCCTAGCTACTTGGGAGGCCAAGGCAGGAGAATTGCTTGAACCTGGGAGGTGGTGGTTGCAGTGAGCCAAGATTACACCATTGCATTCCAGCCTGGGCAAAAAGAGCAAAACTCCATCTCAAAAATAGCAATAATAAATAATAAAAAATAAACTAAGTCTTGAATGCTTCTCTGAGATTCTTGAGTATAAGCACTATCTGGTAAAGTCCATCAAAAGAAGAGCATCTCTGTGGATCCCTTGAGCCCCTTTAGTCTTAAGCAAACCAAAAAGCTACATGGTGATTATTATGAGTGGACATATCCCACGTAAGCATGTACAACAGTCTTAACACCTGATTTCATTAGATATGGCAGTAATACAGCTCTAGAATGACTCTATTTCGGTGGTTTATAGACACTTAGTTTTTGTAAAACACTTGTTTTTCTTTCTTTGTTTTTCAGTGATAGCTTGTGCAGAAGAACATAAATGCAAAGCTTGTTCATTGAGACTGGAGAGAGGAAGGCCAGAGTGCCATCTGCTGGCTCCTTCCCATTCTCTCATAACCCCTCATGGCTTTTAAAAAATCCATTATGTGAAATTCAGCTATTCCTTAATCTCTCCAAATTCCAAAACAGAGGTCTCATGAAAAATTCCTTAAAAGCAAGCATAAATAAATACATTGAGTTATACATTTCTGCCCAGGTCATAGGACCAATGACAACCTACATGTGAGACCAGGTCAGAATGGAAGTGCTATAAGTATCTTATTTAACCAGTTCATTTATTTGGGTCAAGTTGAACTATTTTCTAGCAATAACCCAGAGATCCTTTCTAGGATATAAATAGAACCTTTTTATTCATTTATCTTTTCATACGTTTATTGAATAAATATTTACTTCACCTCTGCTCTAGGCAGGCATATGAGATGCATTGGTGAGCAAATATTTCTTGGGACCCTGTGTGCACCCCAGGAAATCCCCTTCCCACATGGGGCTTCCATTTTGGTTGGTAGATAAAGCTATAAACAAATACTATAAATAAGTCGGCTGTGCAAGCTGGCTCACACCTGTAATCCCAGCACTTTGGGAGGCCGAGGCTGGTGGATCACCTGAGGTCAGGAGTTCGAGACCAGTCTGGCCAACATGGTAAAACCCCATCTCTCCTGAAAATACAAAAATTAACCAGGCAGAGTGGTGTGCGCCTATAGACCCAGTAACTCGGTAGGCTGAGGCAGGAGAATCACTTGAATCCAGGAGGCAGAGGTTGCAGTGAGCCAAGATCGTGCCGCTGTACTCCAGCCTGGGCGACAGAGTGAGACTCCATCTCAAAATAAAGAAAGGAAAATAAAATAAACAAGTCAATTGTTTAGTATGGCAAAATTGTATAAATGTTATAGAAAAAAAGAAAATGGAGATGAGCATAAGGGAAGTCAGAGTGTGTATTTCCATCTTAAGCAGGGAGGTCAAGATGGTCCTCACTGACAGAGTGACATTTGAGCAAAACTTGATGTGAGAAAATAATCACATGCTTATCTAGGAGAACATTCCAAGCAGAGAGAACAGCCATTGCGAAGGCCTAAAGACCATGTGACTGGTGTGTTCAGATATACCAAGGCCAGTGTAGCTGGAGCAGAAAGAGGGAAGGAGGAGAGGTGGGAAGGGGAACCAGGCCAGTTCATGCACTAAAATATGTCTTGTGACCCTGTCTCCACCCCAGGAAATGCTTGCCCCTGCGTTACCCTTGGTAGCCTTTTCTTGGTTGAGATGGTGGTGCATGCTTTAGTTTCTCAGTAAGAATTTCACACTACTAGGAAGAGCCCCTTGTGTCTTCGGTATAATACTGGGTCATGACTGATATGCTCTTCATTCCCTGTATTATATTTTGCAGGACATTCTAAAGGTTTGGGGGAGAACTGAATTCTAACAGATGGTGCACACTGCTGTTGTGATCACAAAGGCCTGAGGCAGACCACTTCAGTCTAACATGTCATTACCAATTTAATAGAAATATTTCTTGTTGGACTAGTCTCTAACAAATGTACATTGTTTGTGAGAATTGGTCTTACTGAATTCTGAAGGTATTTTTGTCCTTACTGGAGTGACAGCATAATATTTTGACAAATCAATTCAATTAAACAACCTACTGATTAAGTCAGACAGACGAACTGATTTGTTTTCCAGATTATTGATTGCCATCACTGAATTCCATACAATTTATTTGACATAGTAAGAGTATAGATTGTTCACAATCTAGATCCCAAGAGACATTAAATGTTCTTGGTTATAACATTTTTATTCTGTAGATAAGAAAATGGAGGCCCAGAGATCTGTATGAATGTGTATGTGTAGCACTGCCATTCAATTAGCTGTGTGTGTGCATGTGTGTGCATGTAGGTACCTTATGTGTCTGTCTGAAATTTATCTGCTATTCAAAATACTTCTGGGCAGGGCACAGTGGCTCATGCCTGTAACCCCAGTACTTTTGGGTGGATCATGAGGTCAGGAGATTGAGACCATCCTGGCTAACACAGTGAAACCCCGTCTCTACTAAAAGTACAAAAACTTAGCCAGGCATGGTGGCACGTGCCTGTAGTCCCAGCTACTTGGGAGGCTGAGGCAGGATCACTTGAACTCTGGAGGCACAAGCTGCAGTGAGCCAAGATCATACCACTGCACCCCAGCCTGGGTGACAGAATGAGACTCCATCTCAAAAAAAAGTACTTCTGGCCAAGCACAGTGGCTCACGCCTGTAATCCCAACACTTTGGTAGGCTGAAGCAGAAGGATCTCTTGAGCCCAGGAGTTTAAGACCGGCCTGGGCAACATGGAGAAACCCTGTCTCTACAAAAAAATTTAAAAATTAGCCAGGTGTAATGGTGTGCACCTGTGGTCCTGGCTGCTTCAGAGGCTGAAGTAGGAGGATTGCTTGAGCCTGGGAGGTCGAGGCTCCAGTGAACCATGATCATGCCATTGCATTCCAACCTGGGCAACAGAGCAAGACCCTGTCTCAAAGACACAAAAAATACTTCTACCTCCAGAATTCGGAATGGTATTTTTCCATTCTTGTCACAAGTGAATTTCAAAGATTTGCTGGTTATAACATGTTCCTTTTTTTGCCTCAAATATTAAATGACTCAGCAGTCATTGTTCTCTGAGGGTGGGGAATGAAGTGATTTGAGCTGGTGATGAAAAATAGGAGAGAACCAGATGACCTGATAATTCAGTTTCCATGTGCTGCTGGCAAAGACATTTGACCTTCTGAGAAAAGTCAGCCTCCAAAGACTAAATATTGTTAATTTTTAAATATAGTTCTAGAGAATTCTTTTCCTAATCCTTTTACTGTAGTCCTGTTAATGCCTATAGCCCTGGGACAAGTTGTCCAGCACCAGAAGTGGACTTGCACAGAGGAACATATTAGTAATTTCCATCTGGCTCTGTACATGACTTGTAGATTAAACAGCCAATTGGGGCCTCCTTTAGAATACAAAAACTTGGGGAAATTCAACTGTTATATATTCTAGTCATTTTTTACACTTATAATTCCCTCAACTTCAATAGCTTCCAACTGTTATTCATCTTATCTCTGGCTTTCTGGCTTTTCTCTGGCAAATCTTTCATTTTTTTTTTTTTTTGAGACAGAGTCTCACTCTGTCACCCAGGCTCAAGTGCTGAGGCACAGTCTCAGCTCACTGCAGCCTCCACCTCCCGAGTTGAAGCAGTTCTCCGCCTCAAGCTTCCCGAGTAGCTGGGACAGATGCCCGCCACCATGCCTGGCTAATTTTTGTATTTTTAATAGAGATGGGGTTTCTTCCTGTTGGCCAGGCTGGTCACGAACTCCTGACCTCAACTGATCTGCCCTCCTAAGCCTCCCAAAATGCTGGGATTACAGGTATGAGCCACCACCCCTGGCCAAATCTTTCCATCTTAATTCCTCTTCTCCTTTTTTTATTTTTTAATATATATATATATATATATATATATATATATATATATATATATACACACACACACACACACATACATATATATACATATATATGTGTGTGTATATATATATATATATATATATATATATATAGAGAGAGAGAGAGAGAGAGAGAGAGAGAGAGAGAGAGAGAGAAAGAGAGAGAATCTTATTCTGTCACCCAGACTGGAGTGCAGTGGTGTGATCTCAGCTCATTGCAACCCTCCCCTCCTGCATTCAAGTGATTCTCCTGTCTCAGCCTCCCAAGTAGCTACGACTACAGGCACCTGCCACCATGCCCAGCTAATTTTTTTTAATATATATTTTTAACAGGGTTTCACCATGTTGGCCAGGCTGGGCTCATAATCCTGACCTCAAGTCATCTGCCTGCCTCAGTCTCCCAAAGTTCTGGGCTTACAGGTGTGAGCCACCGCACCCAGCCTTATCTGTGTTTATTTCTTTAGACTAGAGCAGAGGCCCCCAAACCCCAGGCAGCAGACTAGTACTGGCTTGTGGTCTGTTAGGAACCAGGCCGCCCAGCAGTAGGTGAGCGCCTGGCAAGCAAGCATTGCAGCCTGAGCTCCACCTCCTGTTAGATCAGCAGCAGCATCAGATTCTCATAGGAGCGTGCAAACCCTACTGTGAACTGCACGTGTCAGGGATCCAGGTTGCGCGTTCCTTATGGGAATCTAATGTCTGATGATCTGAGGTGGAACAGTTTCATCCCAAAACCATTCCCTACAATCCCCCCTAGTCCGTGGGAAACTTATCTTCCATGAAACCGGCCTCTGGTGCCAAAAAGTTTGGGGACCACTAATGTAGAGGGCCCTAAATGGATGAAGTTTGAATGGTTCCCTTTTATAGAAAAATACAAATACTCATGCTTGTGATCTAAAGAAATCAACCTGGATGGGGGCTGGGCAGTTCTGCCTGCCTGGCTCTTTTCTGTAGTTAGAGAGGCTCAGAGAAGAGGGAGGAGAGAAGGGCAGGGGGCAGCCAGGCCACTTTATGCCTTTGGTAAGAGGTTCTTTTGAAAGGTATTCATCTTTTTCCTCGAATCTTAAGAATTTTCAAAACTTGACACCTGCTTCCATTCTAGCGTGACTATATAAATTCGTTCCAAAGGCAATAGCAGTACTGTTGATTGTGTCATGGAACAATATGGGAGTTCAGAATTGACTGTTACTCATACAAACACTCACATCTGCTAATTCCTGGACCTATTACTGTTCTTTCAGAATTCATTACATAGTTCACAAGTCTCAGTTTAAAAAAAGCACCAGGCATGGTGGCTCATGCTGGTCATGCCAGCACTTTGGGAGGCTGAAGCAAGAGGATCACTTGAGGCCAGGAGTTCGAGACCAGCCTGGCCAACATGGTGAAGCCCTGTCTCTACTAAGAATACAAAAGTTAGCTGGATGTGGTGCCTCTTGCTTGTAGTCCCAGCTCCTTGGGAGGCTGGGGTGGGAGGACTGCTTAAACCTGGGAGGTGAAGGTTGCAGTGAGCTGAGATTGCGCCACTGCACTCCAGCCTGGGCAACAGAGCGAGACTGTCTCAAAAAATAAAAGTAAAAAATGAAAACCTTTGTGTTCATGAGCACTGAAAACCATTTTAAAAGACCTTTATAAATTCATTGCAAAAGAAGTAAAATGTTTGAAAATCATATCTTTCTCTCCTCTAGTATAGTTTTCTTTTTATCCATGGAAACCAATCCAGAATTTTGGAAGGCATTTTGTGTTCTGTCTTTATCAAAAGCTTGCAGTGTTTCCTTTTGGAAAGTAGCATTGGCCCAATTGGTATTGAGGTAGTTTCTCTTTATAGAAGTATTTCATCTACTACACAAAGGAGGGACCAGAGAATTAGGATTTCACCATTATGCAGTCCTAGAGATTGGCTGGCAAACTTGCCAAAGAAAGGCAGTGATATCAGTAGTTGCTAACGTTACAAGGAAAGGAAGAACCTGGCAGTGTGTATCCCTGGCAGGAGTACACAATACACCTGTGACGTGTCCTGCCACATTCACATCACAATCCGATCCAACCTCTAGATTGAAACAGCAGCCTACACTGGAATATGTTAAATGACCACATGCCGAGGCAGAACCCAGATTGTGTGAAATTCTGTAGGACAAATGACCAGTTTTCTTTTATGACCCCATTGCTAAGGGGACAATGGGAAGAAATGGGGAATCTGCAGAGGAAAGAAACATAAGACCCAGCAACCAGTTGCAATGTTTAGACCTTATTTGGATCCTGATTTAAACAAATGATTGAAAACACACACACATACACACACACACACACACACACAAATTCTGTGAGACCCTCTGCGAAATAAGAACACAGACTGGATGTTTGCTGATATTAAAGAGTTACTATTTTTTGTTTGTTTGTTTGCTTGTGATAATGGCTTTTGTTATTAGGTTCTATTTAAGTAGTACCGATCATTTAGAGATGCCTGCTGAGATATTCATGGATGACATGCAAAAACTGGCATTGGATTCAAAAGCACATTGAGCATAAAAGATGTGAAATGGCCAGGCACAGTGGCTAATGCCTGTAATCCCAGCACTTTGGGAGGCCGAGGTGAGTGGATCGTCTGAGTTCAGGAGTTCAAGACCAGCCTGGCCAACATGGTAAAACCCTGTCTCTACTAAAAATACAAAAAGCAGTTGGGCGTGGTGGTGGACGCCTGTAATCCCAGCTACTTGGGAGGCTGAGGCAGGAGAATTTCTTGAACCCAGGAGGCGGAGGTTGCAGTGAGCTGAGATTGCGCCATTGCACTCCAGCCTGGGCGACAGAGTGAGACTCCATCTCAAAAAGAAAAATAAAAGATGTGAAACTTGCCTCAAAAGTAAGCTTTCATTCCTTTGTTAACTTTGTTGCTTTGAGTGTTCTGTGTGTTACATAAATGACTCAAAAATCCCATCTGACACAACTCCAGAAGGCTTTCTGGTTTGCTGTCAGTCATGGGCATATTTATGGGCATGACACACACACAGATGAGCCATTTAAATAGGATTTTGAGCATTGCTAATTTTGCTTCAGAAAGATTTGTTTGATTTTGATGCCTTTTGCTTAATCCCTACATATCTGGTCTTCAAATATGAACTATTAAATCATATATCCAACACCTTCTATATATGTAATACTGAATATTAATAATTGGCATAAATAATTACAACTCCACAGCACTGCAGAAGAGAATGTCATTAAAGAGGCTAGTCAGTAATATACATCCAGCCAATGTTTGTTGAATGAATAAATGAAATTTCATTTAGCATATTTAATTTTTGTGAAAGCAAAAGAGTATTACACTACTAATACATTCCTCTTGTTCCATGAATAATTATTGATTATTTAATGTATTTTACACGATTTTCAGGAGCAATCGTTATAGTAAAAATGTAGTAGTTTTTAATACTTATGCAGAAAAGCACATAAAACAGAATGCTCCTATGTTCCCTTCTTTTTACATTAGGAAACATTTTTTTCTTTATTTAAAAATGAAATTTTTCAGTATAAACTATTATATGGTAACTAACAAAACATTTAAAAGTACTACAGTCTTTTTCTTTCATCACCAGATACAACCACTATTAATATTTTAATTTCCTTTTTAGTTTTTAAAAATAAAGCTGTAATAATATTAAGGAGAATTTTTGTCTTCAATTTCAGAGACAGAATCCTATTGCAGAAATTTTATTTTTAAATTTTCCCTTTGTGTTGCTTTTCCCCCCAATAAAACAGAAACTGCTAGGCTCTTAGAAAATGGGAACTCTTCCATCTAGTGAAATATGTACAGAAAAATAGATAATAGGCAGCCTACCCCTTCTACTAACATATCACTGCATCTTAAACTAAGGGGTCTATTTTTTTTTTTTGTCCTGGGAAAAGTGGACTCATTTTCATATCTAGAATTAATGAGGTTTAGTTTGATAAGGACTGCTTTTAGGTGGCCCTAGAGATGAGTAATAAGGACAAATTAGATATAAAATAAAATATTACTCTTTTGCAATGTTTGCTTTTCCTAAACCTCTTAGCGAAAGTCTCTGCTGTTTCTTGTCTTTTTTGGCTAGAATGGTTTCTAGGACTATGAACAACTGCTTTAAACACAGCAAACTTTCTAACTCCTTTTTATCAGGCTTAAATATGATTAAGACCTACCTTCCGTGTGCCTTCTCCCTCCTCTTCCCTCCCTCTTTCAACTTCTCCCTTCAAAAAAAAAAAAATTCCAATTTCTTTGTAGTCTCAAAGCTCAGCTGATATGAAATCGATTTTGGGAAGTGAGTTTCATACAAAATTAAAGGAAATCCATTTTATTGAAGAAAATTACCCGGCTCCTTAAAGTTCCTCATTTTGTAGCTACTTTATACTTTCCAAAGAATTTCTTTCTCTAACCCACGAAGGGTTGGGACAGATGCTCATATTCTCATTTTACCCCAAGTTAGTTAGCAACTTGGATCAGGTTAAGAAGCTCGTTCTGATAGAACCTGGATGAGAACCTGGGCCCCCTAGTCTCCTGTGTCAGAGAGTAGGAGGTTATGCTTGGGAACAGAAGGCCTACGTCCCACAACCATGACCAGCCCAGCGTTTGTGGGAGTTCAGTCCAATATAGAATCACTCTTTCAAGGTAATAACTTTACTGCGGGCTTTTACGGCCTGCCGAGCCAAATCGAAGTCATGCCATCTCCAGATTGCAGGAGCAGAAACAGGTTAAAGGGCCTCAGTCCTCCCTTAAGGTGGCCTAAGCTCCGCCTCCTCCCTGCTACATCCTGACAGGCACATTCATCTATACCTCAGCCTGTCAATTTCCACTCCCTTTTTCAGGATGAGCCTAGTGTGGACACCAAGGTGTCCGCGTGTTTCGCTCTCTATGGCCCTTGTTCTTTTCTGATGTCAGCCAGCCCTCTGTTTGCTCAAGGCCAAGGCTACATAATTACTTAGCATGGACATTTCATTTCCTTCATTTTATGTGACCTGCTGTTTCTCAGGCTTTTGGCTGCACATAATAAGCTTTTTTTTTTTAAAGTGATCTATTGTATTTTTCCATGTTCTGTTGAGCTGGGAGGAGTCGGCAGAACCTTTTTAATATCAGATATTACAAAATCCCTGGCAGAGGATGGGGGATGGGGGAGGGTAAAGCCTGGAGAGACAGGGCTAAGCAGCTTAAAAACCACACCACTCACTTCCAGTTTATTAAGTCCCTACTTGATGCAAACTTTTCGTAGGTCACCTCAAAATATTACAACAGCCTTTCATGATAAATATTAGATGCCCCATTTTACAATGTAAGAAACTGAGGGTTTAAGAAATATGGCCTGGGTCCAGGACTGAACCAGGATTCGTGACACCACAGGCAGGCTCTGTGTTAGTCTTCATTCAAATAATTTTCTCTCTCTCTTTTCTTTTCTTTTTCTTTCTTTTCTTTCTTTTCCCTCCCTCCCTCCCTCCCTCGCTCCTTCCTTCCTTCCTTCCTTCCTTTCTTCCGTCGTTTCTTCCTTCCTTCCTTTCTTTCTTTTCCTTTCTTTCATCTTTTTGGCAGGGTCTCCCTCTGTCACCCAGGCTAGAGTGCAGTGGTGCCATCATAGCTCACGGCAACCTCCACCTCCCGGGCTCTAATGATCTTCCCACCTCAGTCACCCTAGTAGCTGGAACTACAGATGTGCACCATCACACCTGGATAAGTTTTTAAATTTTTGTAGAAATGGGGTCCCACTATGTTGCTCAGGCTGGTCTCCAGCTCCTGGGCTTAAGTGATCCTCCTGCCTCAGCCTTCCAAAGCACTGGGATTACAGGTGTGAAGCACTGGACCTGGCCTAATTTTCAAATATTAAAGACATGTTCTTAGTGGAGGGCAGGCTAGCATGATGAGAGATGCTTTTTTTTAATTTTCTTTTCTTTTCTTTTCTTTTTTTTTTTCTTGAGACAGGGTCTTGCTGTGTAGCCCGGGCTGGAGTGCTGTGGTGTGATCTAGGCTTACTGCAACCTCCGCCTCCTGGGCTGAAGTGATCCTCCCACCTCATCCTCCCTGGTAGCTGGGACTACAGGTGTGTGCCACCATGCCTGGCTAATTTTTGTATTTTTGGTAGCGAAGAGGTTTTGCCATGTTGCCCAGGCTAATTTCGAACTCCTGAGCTCAAGTGATCCATTCACCTCAGCCTCCCAGAGTACTGGGATTACAGGTGTGAGCCACCGCCCCCAGACGGATGGTTTTAAGTTTCTATTGACTGGCATCGGCTACTTCAGCAGAAGCTGGATCCATAATGCATTTTGTTAGCTTTGTAAGAGTTACAGTGAGATCTGAGTTAACTATTCCTTTTCCCAAATTACCCTAGTGATGTTTTAATGCTCCTTATAAACCAGTCCCCTGCTGTGGTTCCTTCATTTGGTATGACCCCAGGCTACACAGCCAGTAAGAGGCAGAGATGGGGATTTAAAACCTGATCTTCCTGTTTGTTGCTTCTACGATCTGCCGGCACTTCTTGAGATTCATGAGCGTGTGGCCGTATGATCACTAATGAATTAACTCAATCAATATCAATTGAATGTCTATTCTGTCTTACATTTGTATACTGTTTAATGGTTTACAAACAGTTTTTGCAGGTATAATCTCATTTAAATCTTACCCAGAAACCACAGGAAAGAAGTAAGCCAGGAAATATCAAACCACCCCAAGACACAGGCAGAATACAGCCAGGATTTTAACTCCTGTCTTTTAACTCCCAGTTTTGCCACACTGTACAGGTCTGCGGTTATTGGTGTCTCTTTCAGATGTTGCTACTATCCAGCCTGGGAATATGGAAAAAAAGTGGGGGAGGAGGGAGCGAGGGTTATTTAGCTGCACTTTCAAATCAAGGAGAATGGCCACTTAAATGAGACTATTTCTTCACCCATAGCTCTGAGGATGACATTAGCAGCCCACATTAGAGGCAGAAAAAGAAATCTCCCTTCTGAAAAGACCATAATGATAAAACAACACGTTTTCTGAAATGATAGGAAGAATTTTATGTCGAATATCGTAATGGGGTCAGTAGCACTTCTCAGAAGGGAGGTCAGCAAACTGGGTCTTGGTGAGTGCATCAGATCAAAGCAAAAGAAGGAGAAGGGGCAGTGCCTTCTGTACCGAGAGGAGGAGCAGAAGCACAGGCATAGCTGTGATCCAGAAGCGCAGATTTGGGGCCCCTGGTTGCTGGATGGCCAGGGGGAGGATTTGGTGTGGGCTGGGGAGTGGCTGGAGGCTCTGGAGGCTTCCATGTCAGAGGGTATGCAGTCAAAGAGAGATAGGAGAAAAAAAATACCCCAGCTCGGAATGAACTGATGGATGGAAGGAGGAGGAAAGCGCAGAGATGGGGGTACTAACGTTATTTCAATTCAGTAGTGTTCCATGAAAGGCACATAAAGGCAAAGCAAACCCAAATGCCAAAGGAGCTGAGAAATCAAAGAGACAGTTTGTTGGAACTGGGTGATTTATTGAGGGAACTTAACAACAGAAAGGTGGTCTTGGGCGGCCGCAAGACAGGCAGATCTCTGCGCTGTTACTTTCCAGACCCAGCGCTTATCTACCATAGGGAAAGGGAGTATGCGCTCCAGCAAGGTGATTAAAGGCACCCTCCAGAATAGACAAGTATGCTGCGTGCCTCACCGCCTATAATTTGTGCAGTGACGTTAAGGTTGACATGTTGTCATACAAGAGACAGTAAATAAAGTAGGAATCAAAAGGCATTTATTGGACTGGGGCTCATCAGAAGTCAACATGGTGAATTAACATCCAAGATAGAGTCACTTTTGTCTCCACTCCAACATCATAAATTTGATGATTGAGAGAGTGAGAAGATGCTAGTGCTGTCTTCAGTGCATGCTCTGAAAGGAGGAAAAAAAAATTTGCAGTCAACATTTTTACATTCTTTCAGGGTAGGGGACAGCCTTTTCCACAGAGTGTCTTTTGGTGTACAAATGAAAACCTCACCCTCAAAAGGTTGGGTTAGTTGATGGTTCATTTGGGGGGAAAAAGAAAAATAGGCCGGACGCGGTGACTCACGCCTTGTAATCCTAGCACTTAGGGAGGCCAAGGCGGGTGAATCACCTAAGGCCAGGAGTTCGAGACCAGCGTGGTCAACATGGTGAAACCTTGTCTCTACTAAAAAAAATAAATTCAAAGTTAGCCGGATGTGGTGGCACATGCCTGTAATCCCAGCTACTTGGGAGGCTGAGGCAGGAGAACAATCGCTTGAACTTGGAAGGCAGAGGTTGCGGTGAGCCGAGATGGCGACATTGCACTCCAGCCTGAGCAACAAGAGCAAAACTCTACCTCAAAAAAAAAAAAAAAAGAAAAAAAAAAAGAAAAGAAAAAACATAATACATTGTTTTTAGGCAAAGATGGAAAGCATCTTATTAGTCTTACCAGACATGAAAGAATAGTGAAGGATGTATCCTCAAAAGACAACCTCCTGTATTTGAATCCAGGTCTTTCACGTCCTGGATGTGTGATCTTGTACAAGTTAGTGTCGGTAGGACAGTTGGAAGAACACATGGGACAGATATCACTCAATGACTTGCAGAGACAGCCTGTGTCAGTTTTGTTGTGAGTGGCTCGTTTTTACCCTCTTCCCTCTTAATGGATTTTTTTTTTCTTTTGAGACAGAGTTTCACTCTTGTCACCCAGGTTGG
Organism: Homo sapiens; assembly: GCF_000001405.40. NCBI lineage: Eukaryota > Metazoa > Chordata > Mammalia > Primates > Hominidae > Homo > Homo sapiens. Next base: position 18,228,790 of record NC_000010.11, read on the forward strand.
AGTGCAATGGTGCGATCCCAGCTCGCTGCAGCCTCTGCCTCCTGGGTTCAAGGATTCTCCTGCCTCAGCCTCCCAAGTAGCTGGGATTACAAGCATGTGCCACCATGCCTGGCTAATTATTTTTGTATTTTTAGTAGAGATGGGGTTTCACCACGTGGGCCAAGCTGGTCTCGAACTCCTGACCTCAAGTGATCCACCTGCCTCAGCCTCACAAAGTGGTGGGATTACAGGCATGAGCCACCGCATCCGGCTCTCTTAATGGATTTCTTTGCAGTTCTAAAAAGCATTGTTACAGCAAATATATACACAAGCAAGATAAACTATCTGAACTGTGTTTCTTATTTGGTCATGTAAGTAATGATAGTGTAATTAGTGTGAGAAATTAGTATTATTTATTAGTATGCATAATATTAGAATATTAATTAAGGAAAGGAGATCAGCATGTTGGCAATCTGAAGACTAAATCCATAATTTCAATTACATGATTTTATTTATTCTTATAAAACAAGAATCGTTATTCCCATATTGAGGGGTTGAGGCAGAAGTTCAAAACTTTAGTTGTATTTCTGCTTGGGAAAATAGCAGAGATCTAAAATTAGTCTTATTAGACCACAGATATGTACCCAGCCAAATTTAATGTGGGATTTTAAAGTTCATGGAGTTAAATAGTTCAAAGTAGCACTGTACAAAGCAAATAGAAAATGCACTTTTAAACTTTTTTCAATTTTGCTTGGTAAGATATGAAAATCATTTAAGGAATGTATTTATATTTTTATGATAATCCTTAAAATATTTAGCAGCATGAAAAATGTATTAAAATATTAACAAAATGACAGGCTTTTTAAAAGGACAGTTCTTTAGTAGGTATCATATTTGTTAAATCAAAAGAAAACACTCTTCTATGGTAAACAGTCCTAATTTTTAGCTATAGATTCATATATTTATAGGTTGGTTTATAGTTATGTTTGTCAATGAAGTATTATAGCTATGATGTTAGAGCCCTTTTTAGAAGGATGTTTATGGTAATTTTTATGTAGTTAAATAGATTCAAATTAAGATGTACTACGGTAAAATTACATATGGCATTACTCCTACCATTTGGAGAAACTGGAATATGCCATGCAACCTTTAGTATCGAAACTCGACACCCACTTTCAAAACAGCAAGCATAGAGAAATCTTGTGATTTATTCCTCCATAAGTCAGCCTCATGAATCCTGGTGACAGCAATTATTTTGATCTGAATCACTCAGTGACCAATTCTTAGTTCACTGATTGCATTCCATGAATATTACAGCATCATCTGTACCTAACATAGGAAATTATTGACATCATATTTTACATAGTTGGTTCAAAAGGGCTAACTCATTAGAATGAGGGAGACAGAGAGAGCATCCCCAACTCCCTTGTTCTCCAAGATAGAATTGTTAGAAGAAAAAGTAATAGAAATGTCAGAAATAAATCAAATCAACAGCATACATTTCTGCAGCAATGAACTTTCCTTGTTGTTAGAAAATAAAAGCAAGAAGAATGAACCCTCTCTTCTACAGAAAACTTCTTCTTTCACACTCAAGTTGCCTGTTCCCTCGATCTTTTTTTTGTACTGTTATTAAACACATGAATATAAATTCATATGGGGAAAAGTTTATAGACCATGGTATGATTGGAACTAGTCCCAGAAAATAAAGGCATCTAACAGCATGCATGTACAGTATGTGTTGTTATAAGGCAGTTCCTTGAGATTTAAAAACCTCAAGATATGTGGTACTAAATAGGAATAAGGAACAAGAATGAAAGGAAGGTGAGAAAAACACGAGTTTTCTCTTGGAAAAATCTATAAATGATTACTGAAGTAAAATATGTCATTCTTAAAGAATCATAGACATTTAGAAATCAGACAGAGTATTAAGAATATTAAAGATCATGTCACCAAAAGTCCTCACCTCTTACTAAATGGGGAGACGTATTTTATTTCTTTAATGTAAATGATAAATGATCATTTCAAGTCCCACATGAGGTGAAACTGACCATAAGAAGGAGATCATTTTTTGTAGCTTTTTTTTTTTTGGTAGCTTCTAGTTAATACTTCTATACAAGAAGGGATTAAAATGAACCATAAATTCTTTCCAGACAAAAAGAAAAACCCAGAAATTTCTCAATGGCAATGTGCATATTTTGCAGCTTGTGTCAGTTAGGGGAGGAGAGAAGGAAGGTTAGTAGGCTGAAACGAAAGGATGCGTCTCAGTGTTTTGTGTATTCTAATAGCATGTACAGAAAGAAGTAGCCCTGGCTAGGAATGGTCCACATGCAAACTAAAAAGTATTGCCCTACATCTTAGGCCTTTGGTTGCCATAATGCATGGCTTGTGGTATCATGTTCAACTCTTTTTTCTTCTTCTTCTTTTTTGAGACAGCGTTTTGCTCTGTTGCCCAGGCTAGAGTGCAGTGGCCCGATCTCGGCTCACTGCAACCTCCACCTCCCAGGTTCAAGTGATTCTCCTGCCTCAGCCTCCCAAGTAGCTGGGATTACAGGCAGGCGCCACCACACCCAGCTAAACTTTTTGTATTTTTAGTAGAGATGGGGTTTCGCCATGTTGGCCAGGCTGGTCTCAAACTCTTGACCTCAGGTGATCCACCTGCCTCGGCCTCCCAAAGTGCTGGGATTACAGGCATGAGCCACCATGCCACGCCATGTTCAAATCCTTATGTCTTGTGTATCTCTTTATGTATTTGAATCCTCTTCCCAATTAGACTGCAATCTCTTTTAGAGAATGTGGCTTATTGTTATCACCTGTTTCTTATCCATTGAACCTTCACTGGCACATAAAATGGCGCCTTATAGAAACTTGACAGTACGGTAAGTGATTGATTGACAGCTGTACCTTTAAAATAGAAACTTGCTGTCCTGGATCTATGTGATTCAGGGGTAAAGCATGCTGAAGACTTAAGTTCTAAATCAGATTCTTGTTTGCTCCCTGAGTCTCTCTGAGAGTTCTAATTGCTCTTTTATTCAAGACTCATTGTTCACTGTGTATGTCTCAAAGTAGTTTCAGCCCTCATCACTCCCCTGCTGAAACCCCTTTGTAAGCAACAAGAAGTATTTCTTTTCTTTTGTACAACTCTTAGCAGTGATTGTGATAAAATCTGTATAAATACATATTTGGAATGCTCCAGACCTCCATGCAAAATGTACTAACACCTTCTTTTGGAAATTGTCCTTTATTGCTTTTATTTTCCTTCCCCAAGCACATAAAAATGACCACAAAGGTATTTATGTGAAACATTCTTAGTTCTCTTCTGAAGGTAACAATGATACATACTTTCTGATTTGTTTTTCTTTTGGGGTTGATCATTGGAGGAAATATTTAAAACCATAGTGAGAAGAATTTGCCTTAAGGAAAGAAGATATAATAATATTTCTAACAGTGTCCATGGCACTTTATATGTAATCACTCATTTAATTCTCATGACCAATCTATTCACTAGATCATTAATTATTATTATTATTATCATTAGCATTTTGCAGAAGAGTGAACTTAGGAACAGAAAGAAGCCAAGTAATTTGTTCACAGTTACTCATCCAAGATCTGAGCACAGACCGGGCTCCACAGGTCACAGGTTTAACCGTGAACCAGAGGTTTAACCGTGTAGCCTTCTTGACAGGTAAGAAAGGTATAGGAAAGGAATAATTGAAATCTCAAATTCATGGTTTGCAGTGTTTAATACAGTGAGAAAGTTGATTGAATTGTCTGTGGCTCTTTAAAAATATGCTTTTTGGGGGTCAGAATGATACTAATCTCTTCCTTTAACTAGTGACCTTAGAGTAAGTTTGAGTTATCAGGTTGCATAGCTGAGCCACGTTATGTCAGCTGTGCGTAAAATTTGCTATCATAAAAGATATGAACTGTTGTTTCCATTGCTATTGCAATTTTTGGAAACAGTTTTTTAAAATTCTTTTTTGTGTATTCGTTACAAGCATAAGTCCAAATATCCCAGTATCTTTTGAATAGCTTAGAGAGGCTGGGTGCAGTGGCTCATGCCTGTAATCCCGGCATTCTGGGAAGCCTAGACAGGCAGATGGCTTGAGCCATCTTTCAAGACCAGCCTCAGCAACATGGAAAAACCCCAACTCTACAAAAAGTACAAAAAATTAGCCGGGTGTGGTGGCACACACCTGTAATCCCAGCTACTTTGGAGGCTGAAGCGGGAGGATCTCGAGCTCAGAAGGTCAAGGCTGCAGTGAACCATGATCGCACCACTGCACTCCAGCCTGGGTGACAGGGCAAGACCCTGTCTCAAATAAATAAATAGTTTAGAGAGCTTGAGAAAAAACATAGATGTATTCCTCACACATACTTCTGCCTTGAAATTGATGAGAGTCTAGGACAGGGCGGCAGATAAGTCCAGGTATCATATTAGCATCAGCTCACCTGTCTCAAGATTTACTGTCATCCCAGAGGACACTGACGTCACACAAGGGAGCTTCCTGCTGCTCTACAGTTTATGCTTGAGGATGGGACACTTAAGTCTCCTCTCTCCAGCCACGAGCCATATTGCCACTTTTCTATGTTTAGTGACCTTAACTGGTAATTTTTTTTTATCACTTCCAAAATTTGTAAGCACTTGAGACTTGGGAGCTAGTCTCTAGTGGAAACATCTTTTTTTCTCTCTCTCTCTATTGCTCTGCTAGCTAGGTTTCTTTTTGTTAGGTTAAAAAAAAAAGAATGATGTTCTTATTTTTTAAAAACTAGGTACTGCGCTGAGAATTACAGATTGGGGTTTGATCGCAAGCTCTGCCAAAGCTGTGAATTGAAGCAAATCACATCAGCACTTTGAACATCTTTGTTGTTCGAAGAGCCAAGCAAATATTGAATATTGAGTGCTAGTAGGTAGGTATTGTGCTGGGTGCATTGTCTGTCTGAACTTTTATCAGCAGGCATCTTTCAAGCTCCCGCTGAGTGTGAATAAAGTACTAGGCTAGGTAGTGTGGGGCACAAAAGAATAAAAAATAAGATCCCCGCTCCCAAGAGCTTATTTATCAACACACGAATAGCCTCTTTTAGGAGGGTCAGCCAGTGTCTGAGCCGTGTAGAGAAAGGTCACGGTCACTGAGTGCTCAGTCAACTGAAATCCCTCAAATCTCCAGTATGTTCCTGCTCAGAGCATAGGCGTCCCCTACTGTTGCAAACCTAAGACTGCAATCCAATAAAGGAGACCAGCAATTCCAGTTCCTGATGGTACTTAGACATACCAGATACTGGGACAGGCAGGGCTGGGCAGTGGGCCAGCAGCTGCAAGGTTATGTCCTGGCGTTAGAGGCTGGTTCATGACTGAGACACGTTCTCTCACTAGGGGAGACACAGGCTCTTCCACCTTGGTCCGAGGCTGTCGGGGAACATGGCTGGGGTCTTCGTCTCTGATGTGCTTTGTGCTGAATGGAGGTGTCTGGGTCACTTTTCTTATTTAAGATATCTTAAAATGAGAATAGAGAAAGCAGTTTTGGTAGGAATGGAAAAAGATGTAGCCACTGCAGAAAACAGTATGGCAGTTCCTCAGCATATTAAGCATAAAATTACCATGTGATCAGCAATTCCACTTTTGGGTATACACCCAAGAGAACTGAAAGCAGGGACCGAGAGAGAGATTTGTACAGCCATAACCTAGCAGCATTATTCACAATAGCCAAAAAGATGGAGGCAACCCAACTGTCCATCAGCAAATGAAAGATGAGCAAATCGTGGTCTGTACATACATGGAATAATTTTCAGCTTTAGGAAGGTATTTCTCACACATGAAGACATTATGTGAAGTGAAACAAGCCAGTCACAAAAAGGACAAATATGGCTTGATTCCATTTACTTGAGGTACGTAGAGAAGACAAATACGTAGAAATAGAAGGTAGAATGGTGGTTCCCAGGGAATGGAGAGAACGGAGGAAGATGAATGATTGTTCCATGAGTACGGAGTTCAGTTTGGGATGCTGAAAAGTCCTGGAGATGGATGGTGGTGATGATTGCACTATGATGTGAATGCACTTAATGCCACTGAGCTGCACACTTAAAAATAGTTAAAAGGGCCGGGCGCGGTGACTCACGCCTGTAATCCCAGCACTTTGGGAGGCTGAGGCGGGCAGATCACGAGGTCAGGAGATCGAGACCATCCTGGCTAACACGGTGAAACCCCGTCTCTACTAAAAATATAAAAAATTAGCCAGGTGTGGTGGCGGGCGCCTGTAGTCCCAGCTACTCAGGAGGCTGAGGCAGGAGAATGGCATGAACCCGGGAGGCGGAGCTTGCAGTGAGCCGGGATCACGCCACTGCACTCCAGCCTGGGCGACAGAGCGAGACTCTGTCTCAAAAAAAAAAAAAAAAACAGTTAAAAGGAGCTGGGCGCAGTGGCTTATGCCTGTAATCCCAGCACTTTGGGAGGCTGGGGCAGGAGGATCGCTGGAGACTGGGCATTCAGAACCAGCCTGGGCAATGTAGCAAGACCCAGTCCCTATAAAAAATAATCTAAAAAAATTAGCCAGGCACAGCAGTGCATGCTTGTAGTCTCAGCTACTCAGGAGGCTGAGGCAGGAGGATCCCTTGATCCTAGAAGGTTAAGGCTGCAGTGAGCTATGATCACACCACTGCACTCCAGCCTGGGAGACAAAGCAAGACCCTGTCTCTAAATTTTTTAAATTAAAAAGATAGTTAAAGTGGTACATTGTAGGTTATGTATATTTAGCAATAATAATAATAAAACAACACAGTTTCCTTTTCCAAGAGACAGAAGGGGTCTGTTTGGTTAAATGAAAAGGACGTGGTACAAAGTGGTTGAGAGTAGTTGCTGTTCAGGCTCGGGGCTGCTGCTGCTCTCTGTCTGCCAACAGCCAAAGGCAAGTCGGTTGGAGCAAACTGACTGGTCTTGGCTCTGCCTCAGAGCTGCCCTAGAGCTTTGACTGTATGAGGAAGAGGGGCAATGAGGTTTTGGTTGGTTAGATATTACAGCAGCCACGGAGGTATGGTTTGGATTTGTGTCCCCACCCAAATCTCATGTGGGATTGTAATCCCCATGTTGGAGGAGGGGGCTGGTGGGATGGGATTAGATCGTAGGGGCAGATTTCCCCCTTGCTGTTCTCATGATAGTGAGTGAGTGATTTCTCACAAGACCTGGTTGTTTAAAAGTGAGTGGCACCTCCCCTTAAACTCTCTTCCTCTTGCTCCAGCCATGTAACATGGCTGTTTTCCCTTCTGCCATGATTGTAAATTTCCTGAGGCATATTCATCCATGTTTCCTGTACAGCCTGTGGAACCGTGAGCCAATTAAACCTCTTTCCTTTATAAATTAGCCAGTCTCAGGTATTTCTTTCTAGCAGTGTGAGAACAGACTAATAAACAGGACTTCTGATCCTGTGGCTCCAGTGTGACTGCAGCCTGATTAGGACCCCACACCTGGCTGATGCCGTTCTGTCACTCTGTCTACTTACAAGCAGAGACATTCGCCATTGGTTAAAACCAAACACAGAGGCACGATCGGCTGCTACAGTACCACCTAGTCTCCAAAATGGCAGGAAAGGGCGCAAGCCCACAGTATGGACATCTCTGTATTGATGGGAGATCACAAATCCATAAAAAACAGGTGAGGTAGAGAGAAAAAGAAGGAAATTCTGCAGGTGCCTACAGCTTCCCATTACATGTCTTGGACAATCTTATCTTAGTTGTATTTCCAGAGCCCCTCAGTAGGCCCCCCAAGAGCAAGGGGCCACCTTCTGCAGAAACTTAAATGCCAATTGTTGGTATTAGCCAAAGTGGAGAAAGAGAATGAAACTTACTGGTTTGAGATCAAGCTATTGCCAAATAGACATATCATACCAGAAGACATGTGTTTGTGTTATTAAAAAAAGTAGTTCCCCCAAAATGACAGTCTCTGCCTCATAATCTACCTGCCATTTACCCCTACCTGCCACTCCCTGAAGCCATCGGTAACCTTGGAAATGCTTGCATCAGTGATCCAAGTGTGGATCTCCCTACCCCCACCCTTTCTTATTCAGAACTTTGCAGTCTGAGCCTCCTCTCGGCTAAGGATCTCCTTTGGGGGACTGTTTCAATCTGACATCCTGGCTTATCTATAGGGAATATGCTAGGAAGCTGGGGATATTCCAGAATTAAACTGCAGAGAATTATGTTCATTCATGGGCCTGTAGTACTATGCACCAGGCGAAGTGCCAAGCAAGGCAAGTGCAAACATGGAAAATAGAAAGAAAGAGGCTCTGCTTACCCAGGGATCTCAAAGGCGAAAGGGTGAGTGCATTGCAATTGCCTCCAATGTGGTCAGTGTTATTGTAGGGTAAATGCATAGAGGTAGCAACCTACTCTTGGGGTCTGGAGTAGGAATAGAAAAAGGTGGTGTTCTGGGTTGAATTGTGTTCCCCCAGAAAGTATGTTGAGGTCATAATCCCCAGTACTTATGAATGTAATCTTATTTAGAAATAAAGAGGTTTTAAAGATATCATCAAATTAAGATTAGATTTTACTCAATTAGGGTTGCCTCAAATCCAGTATGACTGATGATGTCCTTATAAGAAGAGAAAACCAAGACACAGATACACAGAGAGAAAAGATGGTCATCCAAAGGTGGAGGCAGAGATGGGGCAGATGCATCTACAAGCCAAGGAATGTCAAGGACTGCTGGCAACCTCAGAGGCTAAGAGAATGGTGTAGAACAAGTTCTCCCCTAGAGCCTCAGAAATGGCATGGCCTTGCCAACACCTTGATTTTGAATGTCTAGCCTCCAGAACTGGAGAGAGTGTATTTCCATTGCTTTCAGCCACCTATCCTATGGTGCATAGCTGTGGCAGCCCCAGGAAACAAATGCAGATGGTATCATTTGAACTTGATCTTGACGTTGGAATGGTTCTTCAGGTGCATCAACAAAGACAGGAAGAGATAGGGGCTAGAGAAGGACAAGAGCTGTTCAGAAAGCAGCTTTGATTCAGTGTGATATACCCAACAGGGGTAATGGTATGCACCAGTGTACCGCAATATACCATAGATGGAGTTGAGTTGTGTTCTGGAATGATGGTAGAAAGGTAGGCAGGAATTAGCCCAGACAGGGGATCTTTTGCTATGCTAACAAGGCTGGACTTTGTTCACTGAGGGTTTCATGGCTGAAGGATTGTAAAGGCTCCCATAGCCTCACTCATTCTGCTCCCCACTCTCTCTCTGTAGCGTGGAGCATATCCTAGTTTGGACCTCATGTTGTCTTGCTCTCTAGAGTTCTTCCAGATGGAAGGTTGGGCCAGATGTAGACTGACTTTAGGATGGGAACTATGAAGGCTCTTTTCTGAAACATCTCTCCCGCTTGCATTTGGCATGTGGTTTTATAACTCCCCATGTCCACCCCAGACATAACCTTATGATTGGCATATAATGTACTCGAATCCAAACCATGATTAAAGTCTGTTTTGTTTTGCAAATTCTTGGCACTGTTTTGTGAAACTCTTCCAGTTCTAGCCTGGTCCTCTCTTAATAAAACCAAAGCTTTTGATAGCAAGTATTCCAAGGTTGCCTTACTCGCGTGCCCTGATTCTGTACTGATGAAAGCCATCGTTTTGAGATTTACCTTGGTTCCATTTTCCAATTCTTATTTTCTTATCAGAAACACACTTCATTCTTTTCATTTTTCTCATTATATGATTAATGATTTTCCAAATCATTTCTGATTAATATGTTTTCCATCCAATGTGAACCTAAAAATAAGGAAAAATCTCAATCCAACATAAGGGACTACTTGCTACACATTCTTAAAGGATTATTTTAAATCTTTTGAGCTTCTAAGTTGCTTTAAATAGTATAACATGAATGAGTTGACTGCCAAGGAGTATGGGATTGTAGTGATTCAAAATTTCTTCGTGATCACTCTAAGAATGACTTCTTATTTGCCAGAGTAGCTTCATTCAGATAATAGTAATTATAACAGTGCTACAGTTTTAAAAAACAATGTGGAAAATTACTACAGGAAGATGCTGGAGGCCTGAGTGGGAGCCCATCTCTGCCTTTAACTAACACAACCGTAAACCATTCAACTATTTTTGGCTTCAGTTTCCAGAAAATGAAAAAAGACCTGATTCGATTATTTCTAAACTCCTACAATTGTGAAGTCACGAATTTGCTTTTTAATTACAGAGGCGATGTGAACCCTGAAGGAGTGTTTTAAGATTTGATGGCAGCTGGAACCCAAATGCTTTCAGGAAGATTTGAATCTTGCAAAAATCTTTTCAGTGGGGGCAGTATTCTTTAGCAAAGTTTGCCATCTAGTGGCCACCAGGACTAAATGGGGCTTTGCTTAAAGTGTTGAACAAAAGACTCCTTGACTAAGTTTATTTATTTTTAATTTTTTTATTTTTATATATTTAGCAGGTACAAGTACAGTTTTGTTACACGGATATATTGTGTAGTGGGCAAGTCTAGGCTTTTAGTGTAACCATCCCCCGAATAGCGTGCATTATACCAGTTAGGTCATTTCTCATCCCTAACCTCCCTCCCACCTTTCCGAGTCTCCAGTGTCTATTATTCCACTTTATGGGTCCATGCGTACACACTGTTTAGCTCCCACTTAGTATTTGACTTTCTGTTTCTGAGTTATTTCACTTAAGACAATGGCCTCCAGTTCCATCCATGTCACTGCAAGAGACATGATTTCATTCTTTTTAAGGGTTGGGTAGTATTCCCTGGTGTGCGTATATGTGTGCATGTGTAAGTAGATATATACACCCCACACATTTTGTTTATCCAGTCATACATTGATGGACACTTAGGTTGATTCCATATCTTTGCTATTGTGAATAGTGCTGCAATAAATATACAAGTGCAAGTATCTTTTGTATGTAATAGACCTTATCTAAGTTTCATAGACAGTTGAGTACAATTATATTAATTAAGTTTTGAAGAATTGAGTCAACTTTAAAAGTAGAGAAGTGTTCTAAATACCAGTTAATCATGGATCTTAGTTCTTCTAGATTTTCTTTATAGTTTCTAGATCACCCTCCCCAGCTCCAAAGATTATAAAGCACTAAATGCTTTTATTTGTTTCAAATAAGAGCTTGTGAAATCCAAGTCCTGGAATTACATATCAAGGAATATGTATATTACCTGATCTTTACTGATGACTTTGGATTCTCATGTCTTCTCATATCTGATAAGGCAGATAGCTGCCTCTCTGCCTTATCAGCTGTAACAATCTCACATGACTTTTGGGTAGCTTCATATTTAAAAACTTTTTTAAAAATCTTCAGTATGGCAACTTATGTACTATTTTTGTAAAAATATTGAATAACTGGAATAATAGAAATGGTTCACGCTTTGAACTAGCATAACAAAAACTATGAGTATTCTGTTGACATTAGAGAAATGCCTAAAAACACATTCTCCTTGACATTTTGTTCCATCCCACTTGGACTCTCTCTTGAACAATATTATTCTACAATCCAAATAACATGTTGCAAAACAATCGCAGAGTGACTCAAATCGCTAAACATCTTTTCTTCCTGTATAAAACTTGACAAAAGCTTTGATTAAAGTCTCATGCAGGTTGTGGATTCGGTTCCAAGCAGCGTGGTATGTGATGGCGTACTCAAAACTAGTCTGGCTCAACTGTACAGTTTTATAATTTGCCTGCAGGGAGATATTGAGAAAGTGGAACGTGTAACCAGGTCGCTCACTATTAATCTTTTAGCTGGGGAAAGAACAAATCCAACTTCTTTCTTGACATCTCCTCTTGGTTTTCTCAAAAACACCTCAGACTCAACACATCCAAAATTGAAACTTGCGATCTTGTCTCCCCATATCCTGGCACATTTCTACTGTTTCAGCAAAAGCCATTTCTGTCTAACTGGTTACGCAAACCAGTAACCTCAGAGTCATTCTCGATGACCTTCCTCTCCCTCGGATGCAGAACCAGTCTGTCACCCAGTCCTTTGGTCTCATCATTAAGAATCCTGAGCAGATGCCTCCTTCCCTTTTCTCCCCCATCCTGCCTGCCTACTCAAAGCCAACACCCCCTCTGCCTGCCCATGGCATTGGTCAGTGGCCTCCACTCTGCCCTCTCTCGCTCTTGTTTCCCACGTGGCACTTACTCAGAGTAATCTTTTCCCAGTGAAAAGAAAAACACAGAAGATGTTGCCATAATGAGTTTTACAATGCCACTTAGGACAAACCTGCCTCCTGTTCTGTTCACGGTTATCCCTCTGCTCAGCGAGATAAATGCATACCTGATTGCCTCCTTTGGAAAGGCTGATCAGAAACTCAAAAACATGCAACCATTTGTCTCTGAGTTGTCCTGCCTTTCCAGACTAAACTCGTGTTCATCTTACATATATTGATTGATGTCTTGTGTCTCCCTAAAATGTGTAAAACCAAGCTGTGCCCTGACCCCACCTTGGGCACATGTCACCAGGACCTCCTAAGGCTGTGTCATGGGCACACATCCTTAACTTTGGCCAAATAAACTTCTTAAATTGACTGAAAAAAGATAAATAAATAAAATGCATTAAAGAGACTACATTTAAGTGGTGAAAAAGTGCTTGCTTTTGTGCTTTTGACTTTGTTCCATTAAAGATGCAGGTGACCTACAGGGAGGGAACATCACACACTGGGGCCTGTCACGAGGTGGGAGGCTAGGGGAGGGATAGCATTAGGAGAAATACCTAATGTAGATGACGGGTTGATGGGTGCAGCAAACCACCATGGCATATGTATACCTATGTAAGAAACCTGCATGTTATGTACATGTACCCCAGAACTTGAAGTATATTAAAAAAAAAAGATACATACAGGTGACCTATAAAGAGGTACATGGGAAACAAAAGTAAAAAATTAACCATGAATACAAAAATGAGACAAGGGGAAAGAAATGTAAAAACTAAAAGGATTTTGAAGTCAACCTGGGCAATTTAGATTATATTTTAATTATTTTTATTTATATCTATATTTACTGACCTTTTTTTGAACTTTTAATCTTTATAGTCTGCTGAAAAGCCAGAGAAATGACTTCTGGAATATTTGTACAAATAGTAAGTGTCAGCTAAAATGAGCTTCTACGTCATGTAATATTTTGAAAGAGAAGAATTGTAAGTGGATTGATCATCTTGGTTATATTCAAGTCACAATAAACAAAATATTCAAATAACAATAACTATTCAATTACGTATATAGTCAACCACCAATTTTATATTTATTTCAATATTCAAATTCTAGTACATAGTCAAGTAACAAAAGAGAAGGATACATTTTTTAGAATGCATGTATATATGTATATATGTGTGTGTATATATATGTATACATGTGTGTGTGTGTGTATATATATATATACACACAATAAGACACTTAAGAAAATGAATGTCCTATTATAAATTGAACTCTCAACTGGCTTTCAATTTATGTAATATATATAAAAATATAAAACAATAGTGCAAAAATTATTTAACAAACAATATAAAAATTGCATTGGGATAACTAGTTAAGTACTTAAAGAATTAGGCCCACACCTTGTGTCAAAACCAATTAGAGAGTTAAATGGAATATACTTGAGTAGAGAGTTGGATATAAAACAAATCATAATTAGAATAAATGTGTTGATTTATTAGAACGATGAAAAGGTTGAAAGGTCTTTCTTAGTTTTGATGTAATAAAAATATTCACAAAGCAGCACATACTGTTATTTTAAAATAGTAAACTGCATTACAAGAAAATAAGTTGAAAAGGTATGTTGGGAAAATATTTGAAGCAAATATATAAATGAAGAATCAAAACATCACATAAACAGTTTCTACAAATTGGTAAGGCTGCAGCAATGTGAAAACTGATTTCAGAAGTGTCTGTATTAGAAGTACAATTAAAAGTAGAGAAATTTTAAAGAAAACATGCAAAAAGTTGGCCGGGCGCAGTGGCTCATGCCTGTAATCCCAGCACTTTGGGAGGCTGAGGCAGGTGGATCACGAGGTCAGGAGATTGAGACCATCCTGGCTAACACAGTGAAACCCCGTCTCTACTAAAAATGCAAAAAAAAAAAAACCAAAAAAACAAAAAAACATTAGCCGGGCATGGTGGTGGGCACCTGTAGTCCCAGCTATTCGGGAGGCTGAGTCAGGAGAATGGCATGAACCCGGGAGGCGGAGCTTGCAGTGAGCCGAGATTGCGCCACTGCACTCCAGCCTGGGCGACAGAGCAAGACTGTCTCAAAAAAAAAAAACAAAAAAAAGAAAACATGCAAAAAGTCTTGAACATATATTGAGATAAAGACTAAATTTTATTTGATACTTTCTAAGTTGTCAATATTGTTATATTTTCAATAAAATTAATAAAACAAATGTATGAAACATCCTGGTAGATATTAAAAGAGACTATTTTAGAATCTACAGGACTAGTAATACACAAAGTCCCTAAATTTTAACAGCATTCTAGATATACTGTTGTATTAAATTTGATCAAGAATAAATACAAAGTTCCCATTAACACATTTATTCAAGGTAAGGGGAAATAAAGGTGATTCATAGGAGTCCTGGGTAGGCCCAGGTAAGTTGGAGAATTTTGTGTTTAAGGGTAGGGTCACCCTGGCTGTTTACAGGGATCATGCTCACGACTATGGAAACAAGGAGAATGGTGAAAGAGACTCAACTCAAGACAACATGGCAGAGTTTAAGAGTGCTGTGGCTTGGATGTAGTTCGTGCCTCCCAAAACTCATGTTGAAATTTGATTCCCAATGAGGTAACGTTGGGAGCTGGGGCCTAGTGGGTGGTGTTTGGTTCATGAGGACAGATTTCTTATGAATAGATTAATGCCCTTCCTCGGGGATGAGTGAGTTCTCACTGTCTTGGGAATAGGTTAGTTCCTGCAAGAGCAGGATGGTTAAGAAGAGTCTGGCTCCTCAATTTCTCTCTCTTGCTTTTCCTCTTGGCACATGATTTCTACACACACCTGATCCCCTTCCGGCTGCTGAGTGGAAGCAGCCTGAGGCCCTCACCAGATACAGCTGCCCAATTTTGGACTTTCCAACCACCAGAATCATGAGCCAAATAAACCTCTTTTCTTTATAAATAACCCAGCCTCAAGTATTCAGTTATAGCCATGGCAAATGGACTAAGACAGGGAACAACGAGAGCTTTGGTATCTGAGAGTGCTGAGTTGGAAACCTAGCTATGTCTCTTTACTCTTAGAACCCTGTTTCTTCCATCGTGCAACTGAGCTACCACTAACTGTAGTGCTGCATTGCTGGGGAGAACTAATAATGCAATGTGGCAAGGAAGATGTTGCTGGCTTTTATTTAACAGCACTCAATCAATCAGGTGATGCCAGGCCTGCTTCTCCATAGTGCAGTGTCTTTGATATTTACTGCAATGATGTTGGCTATAATTCTGTTACATGATAAAAGAGATTTCAAGAGTTTTAAAAACCCCATCAAAAAAAGAGTTCATTCTGGAACCACAGATGTCTGGTTTCTTTGCTGAGATTCATATAGAGTAAGATCATTGAATTTAGCAATGGATTTCAGACATCAAATTCTACCTTTAAAAACATCATTTAAAAACTAAAATTAGAATCATCAACCGCTTCTCAACTACCATATGTCAGTGATTATGGGGATCCCTAAAGGATATGGCTTTTCCTAACGTGCAAAACAGTCTCTCATAAAAAAATTGATGCACATATTCAGGTGAAGCATAATACTGATTCTTGCCTGTGGCAGAAATTCTGTTAAGTACACCTAGCAATTTTGTTGGAGAGTTCTGATTTCATCTGTTAATTTCAAATTTCTGGACAGCTCTTTGAATTCTTTTGTCAACCTTATGTAGGAAGACTTGAGAGTTGTTAGGGCTCCATAGGGGAGTATCCTTAGAGAAGGATGGCTCCCTACCAAGCACACACAGATGTGGGGCACTAGAGTAGGCTGAGTAATCGCCCCCCAAAGATGTCCATGTTCCAATCTATGGAACCTATGAATATGTTACCTTATGTGGCAAATAAAATTTTGCAGATGTGATTAAGTTAAAGATCTTGAGCTAGGAAGATTATCCTGGATTAGCTGGGTGGGCACAGTGTAATCACAAGGGTTCTTTTGAGTAGAAGAGACAGATAGGAAAGTTGGAGTCAGAGAGGGAGATAGGACAACAGGTGCAGAGGTCAGAAGGAAATTGCAGTTGCTGTCTTTGAAGTTGTGGAGGGGCCATGAGCCAAGGAATACAGCAGCCGCTAACAGATGGAAAAGGCAAGAAAACAAACTCTTCCCTGAAGGCTCCAGAAGGAACACAGCCTTGGATTTTTTTTTTTTCCCCAGTAAGACTCATTTCGGACTCCCAGCCTGCAGAACTGTGAGATAATACATTTGTATTGTTTTATGCCACTGTATTTATGGTAATTTGTTAAAGCAGCAATAGCAAACACATACAGGCACACAGTGTGTAGAAATGTCTTCTATGTGTCTTTTTTGTGTGTCCAGATGAACTAAGGTAGAACTGCTGTAAGGAAACCTGCAGCACTGTTGCCTGTGTTCATTTTTTTGTTCTTATTCGAGACAGGGTCTCACTCCGTTGCACAGGCTGGAGTGTACTGGTGTAATCAGAGCTCACTGCAGCCTCTGTCCTTCCCTGGCCCAAGTGATCCTCCTACCTCAGGCTCTTGAGTGGCTGGGACTTACAGGCATGCACCATCATACCTGGCTAATTTATTTATTTTAATATTTTTTGTGAAGATAGGGTCTCACTATGTTTCCCACAGCTGGTCTTAAACTCCTGGGCTCAAGCTATTCTCCTGCCTCAGCTTCCCAAAGTGTTGGAATTACAGGCAGGAGCCGTCACACCTGGTCTCCTCCTGTTCATTTTTATTTTTGCCAACAGCATCACAAAATGTGTTTGGCCTTTTGAGTTAGCCACGTGATTACCTCTGCTCCACCAAGACACGAGAAGGTCAGCAGTCACTAGTCATTCTCCTCTCCAGCAAGGTATAGTCTAGTAATCAGAGATTCAGAGTCCTGGGTAGGTGAAGGTATGGGGTGGGAAGTGTTCCTATCTGTACAAGACCTTTCATTTATTTTTAATCTGACCTTGCTTTTAAATGTGCATAGTGCTTATATTAATCAGGAGTTGGGAAGCAATCGATGGGCATCAGTGGGTAGGTGCTGGGGAAGGAGTGAAGAAATAGCACTGAAGCACTGGAAATAAATGGTCAGAAAGGATTCTGTTGGCTCTTCTACTCCTGGAACCCGGAGAACAGCTCCAGGTCAAAAGGTGCAGTGACCCTCTTGATCTCCGAGAGGAAGAAACCTCAGATGAAAGACTGTGTGTCTACTGGGTTAAACACACCAATTCTCTATTCAGACTGCCTAGAATTGAAGCCCACTACCCTTCCCCTGGCTCTGAGAGCTTACGCCAGTTAGGAACCTCTAGGCTCAGCTTTCCTGTGTGCTAAATTGGTACAAAAATATTATCTTGAAGGATGGTTACAATAATTAAATGTGAAGTGCTCAGCACATAACAAGCACTCTATAAATGTTTAACTAGTATTATATTAATAATATTATAACCTTAGGGAACTTCCAAATTTTGAGAGGAGGATAAGGCTCCTAGTTCTCTCTTTCTTTTAAAAAAAAACATTTTTACAATGTCTTCTCTACTTCCTCTGTTACATAAATGAGGTAAAGATAGGCTCTGTGTATTGGTCCCCAGGTTGTTTATTTCTTCAATGGGGGTTGAAATGCATTATCTCAGAAGCCTAATGGTACCAATCTCAAATGTTTACACACCCAGCTGTTATTTATTTATTTGTTTGTGTTTACAGTCAGGGTCTCACTCTGTCATACAGGCTGGAGTGCAGTGGTGCGATCATGGCTTACTACAGCCTCCAACTCCTGGGCTCAAGTGATCCTCCCGCCTCAGCCTCCTGAGTAGCTGGGAATACAGGCATGCACCACCAGGCCCGGCTAATTTTCAGGGTTTTTTAGTTTTGTTTTTTGTTTGTTTGTTTGTTTTGTAGAGACAGGGTTTCACTATTTTGCCCAGGCTGTTCTCGAACTCCTGGCCTCAGGCAGTCTTTCAACTTTGACCTCACTGAGTGCTGGAATTACAGGCATGAGCCACCAGACCCAGCCCATCCAGTTGTTTTAAACCTAGCCCGAATAAGTAGTTTTTTAAGCCCTTTTGCCTGCCTTGCATACCCCGTGAAACCTCATTTCCACCTGCTGACCGTAGGTAAGATGCAGCCTCGCAGTTGTAAGGCATAATCTGCTGGGGCCTTCAGAGCTCTCTGACCCAGAGACTGCCACCCTACTGCTGAATGACATCACCTCGACACGTGAGACCCGTCTGCTATCTCCTCTCCTGGGAATTCCCTGGCCCTTCTCCCCTTCTAAGTAGCAACCTCTGTGTGCCATAGCCTCTGCACAGAATCCTGCTGTGAGGGGCTTCCTCCCATGCAGAGTTGTCATAATTACCCAGTAAAGCTGTGTGTGCTTTAGCCACCTCCTAGACATCGTATCTTTTTCCTTGATCAGTCCCCAAATCCCTCAGGATCTTCTTCTTGTCCAACTAACACCAATTCCCAATAAAGGACCATTCAAACATATTTTTACTTCTCCGCTTCATCATAAGCCAAAATAGAACCAAGAGACAGAATAGTCAATGTGTTAGTTTTCTTTAGAGTTGCCCAGTAGGGGGTATGAAGTGCCGGCTGGATATAGGAAGATTGTCAGGGTTGCCAAATATCCCAAATGATTATATTCTTTCCATCATCTCTTAAAAAAAAAATCATACTGTGATTTTAGGCACATCTGTAGGTACTTTGCAAAATAACTTTGTCTAAGTCCATTCAGGCTGCTGTAATGAAATAGCATCAATTGGGTGGCTTATCAAAAATGCATTTATTTCTCACAGTTCTGAAGCTGGGAAGTCGAAGGTTGAGGCAGATTTGGTGTCTGGTGACAAACTCTCCCCCTCTGAGTTTCCATAAATTTTAGATCTTTTACTCCATTACCTTCATAGTATCTGTGAGGACCACCTTTTCTGGGGTAAAGGAAACCATGATTTCATTCTGAATGCTAATGCATATGACATAGAGTACCTCTGATGATGTTACAGTAACACACAGCTTCCCCTGTTTCATAAATGGTACCTTCTTACTGTGTTCTAATATGGTGGAAGGGGCAGTGGATCTCTCTGGGACCTCTTTGATAATGGTGCTTAATCCCAATCATGACCTAATCACCTCCCAAAGGCCTCTCCTAATTCCATCACATTGGTGATTAGGTTGCAACATATGAATTTTGAGGGAAATGCAAAGATTCAGACCACAGTACCTACCAAACTAGAAAAGAGAAATTGAAATCCACAAACTTTAGCCTTCAAATTCAGTAGAAAAGCCCCACTTTTCCAAGCTAATTGAGCTGATGTTAGGACCCAAATGAACTGTTCTTTATGAGGAAGTAGAGAACATACTGCTTGTGTCAAACATAATGAGTTGGATCTTTCAAAAATTAAAAATTCGTATTTCAATTAATTTACCTTTGGTGAGTGTCTGATTCATAAGTAAGAATAATGGAATACTTCTGTGGTCTAATAATTAAAAAGTAATTGGGCAAATACATTTTTTGAAGTATTTTGTCATAAATCATATGAATCTCCCCAAGTTCTACTATTTCTGATCTTAAATTTGAGAAGAACTTTTTCTGTTGTATCTGTCATTCTTATAGTGTTCTCAACTAAATCCAATAGGAAAAGAAAAATTGAGATTTTCCTCATTCATTTCTTTGTCACTATGTAGCTCATAGCTAATTCAATATTAGGAGAAGTGAGCTTCTTTTAAACATATCTTAAAAGAGAATGTCTATGATCTCATTGGACATATCCAATATCACTCTCTGAGAAGTCTTCCTCTTGTTCTGTCCTGTAATTTTATATCTTTGTAACCAACATCGTTTGATAGCCCATCACCTCCTCTCCTCAGATCCTCATTTCCTTCCTTATCTGAGTTCCCGTGATGGAGACAGACTTTCTCAACTCTCTGTTCCTCTCTCCCTCTGTCTTATTTTCCTGGGAAATGTGACATCAGCCTAAACCTGACTCTCATTCACTCTGCCCTTGAATTTCAGCAGACACACATAGTGGGGGAAAAAGACCACTCTGGGCACTGTTTTACTGGAAGTTCATGACCACAAATATCCACCTGCACTCAATTCTACCTGTTGATTCTGTTTTCCTGGCCAGTCCACTCACCTACTCCTGAGAGGTCTCTTTCACACCTTCCTTGTACTTAAATCTGCAACAGTTTCTCCCATCTCCTCATTCTCGGTTAATGATCTTTCTCCTAATTTCATCTGAGAAAATAGCAACTCTCTAAAAAGACCTTCCCACTACTGCTACCATTAAATCCACCCACTGGTACCCAAATCTTCTGCTTCCTTCCTGCGACAGTGGGTGAACCAACTAAGAGTCTATCTGAGCCAACCACTCTGCTTATGCATGGGGTTCCAGCCCCTTGGCCCAACCAAGGACTTTGCTCCTACAATTATCTGTGATCTCTGTTGAAGTGTCTTTTGTTTTTCCTTTCTTACCTGTAATACCTCCTATTCCAAGAAAAAAAAATGTCTTATTCCTGCATCTCTTTGCAGCTTTGTTTTCATTTTTCTACTCTCTGCTTAAGAAAATCTCCTTGAAAAATGTGTGTCCACCCACTGTATCAAATTGTTCACCTCGCTCTCTTTATTGAACTCATTTCAGACTCTTGACTCTGTCCCCCCAATGACTTCACTTGAGATGCTATCATCAGTGGCCTCTACCTGACCAGATCTGATGGTCAGTTCTCAGTCTTCATCTTACTTGACCTCACCTCTAATGGGCGAGATGCTCCAGGAATCAGTTTTCAGCTCCTCTTTCTTGGGAAATTTCTCAAGGGAATTTCACAAAAGCTTGTGGTTCTCAAGACCATCTATATGCCACCTTCCTAGTTTATTTCTCTACTCACACCTCCCTTCTGGACCCTGGGATTATATATGAAATTGCCTACCTGACTGCTCCACATCGATGTCCTACAGACGTCTCAAAATTAATATCCCTGCAAAAGTATTTTTTGTTTTCTCCTCTGATCCTGCTCCTCCCTAAATATTTTTCTTCTCAGGAAATGGAGCAATCATGTGAATGGTTGCTCAGCCCCATCTCCCCCCTTCCAGCTTCCAACTGGACTCATTCTTGGATTCTTTCTCTCCAATAAGACATCAATCTATAGGTCAATTCTGTCACACTGGACTTCAAAATATATCCAGAATCCTACCACTTCTCAAGGTGTCCTCGCACGAACACTTTAGACCAAGCCCTTCTCTCTTATCTGAACTATTGCAATAGTCTAAAAACTCATCTCTGTGTTTCCTCATTAGCTCTTGGCAGTCTCCACACAGCAGGCAGAATACTACTTCTGAGATATAAATCAAGCTAGGTGTCCTTTTCAAAGTCCTCCAGTGGCTTTCCTCCCAATTAGAAGAAAATGCAGTCCTTGTTGTAACTTTGTGAACCTATATGATCTGGCCACTCAACGGGCTTCATCCATAGGCAACTTCTTACTGTCCTTTCTGTGGGCAAAGTGTGTTCCTGCCTCAGGGCATTTGCCTGGACTTTTCTTCTGCCATGTTGTCTGACTCCTTCACTTTATTCACTTTGTTCTGCTCAAAACTCATCTTTCTAAGAGGTCAAGGAGGTCTGCCTATTGTCAATTTTATCTCTCTCTTTTTTTTTTTTTTGAAAGTTGTCCATTCTAAATGTAGAGGGTGCCTAAGCTAGCAATGACTATGGACGAATGTCTTTTATTTTTGGAAAATTAAATATTTAAGATTTAGGATATCTAGATACTTACGACCACTGTACAGCCTAGTGGTAGAATCAAGACCATCGCAAACTGATTTTGAATGAAACAAGATCCATCTTTGGCTTCCTCCATTTCCGTTTCCCCATCTCTACTTTCTTAAGCCCTCATCCAGTTATCCAATACTGTGCAGGTTTATGCTCCAACTCCCTCCCAGGTCTGCTCTTACTCCTGAAGTGTCCATGCACCAAAGCTACCTACATCATCTTCTCCCCAGTCTCTGGAACTTCTCATTGGTAGTTAGGTGTTGGGAGGAAAAGCCGTTTGCTTTAACTACAGCTGCAAGCTGAGGTGGATGGCCTTCCCTTAAGTGTCTTCATCTTTTATTACTTCCAGCTTTGTTGGTAAATGATATGCATCTGTGTTGAGTAGTCTTAAGGTCATTGCCCTCAAATATTTATCTGAAGCTCATTGATGAGAAACAACACTCAGTGGGATTGTTTAATAGACACAGAATTCATTCAGTGTCTAAAACTCCGGTTGGGAGCTAGATTTTTACAGTTCAGCAAATCTGGGTTCAAATCCTATTTCTGCTGCATATGAATTTTGTAGCCTTAAGCAAGTCTCTCGGCTCTTTTTTTTTTTCTTTTTTTGAGATGGAGTTTCACTCTGTCGCCCAGGCTGGAATGTGATGGCATGATCTCAGCTCACTGCAACCTCCACCTCCTGGGTTCAAGTGATTCTCCTGCCTCAGCCTCCTCCTGAGTAGCTGAGGTCACACACGCCTGCCACAACGCCCAGCCAATTTTTGTATTTTTAGTAGAGATGGGGTTTCACCATGTTGGCCAGGCTGGTCTTGAACTCCTGACCCCAGGTGATCCACCCACCTCGGCCTCCCAAAGTGCTGAGATTACAGGCGTGGGCCACCATGCCCGGCCTCAACTCTTAAGTCTGTTTCCTCATTTGTAACCCACTGTATTAGTCCGTTCTCACACTGCTCTAAAGAACTACCTGAGACTGGGTAACTTATGAAGAAAAGAGGTTTAATTGACTCAGTTCCACAGGCTATACAGGAGGCATGGCTGAGAAGCCATCAGAAAACTTATAATCATGGCAGACAGGTGAAGGGGAAGCAACCACATCTTACCATGGTGGAAAAGGGGACAGAGAGCGCGAAGAGGGAAGTGCTACATGCTTTTAAACCATCAGATCTCGTGAGAACTCACTATCACAAGAAACAGCAAGGGGGAAATCTGCCCCCATGATCCAGTCACCTCCCACCAAGTCCCTCCCCCAACACTGGGTGTTACAATTCAACATGAGACTTGAGTGGGGACACAGAGCCAAACCATATCACCCAGGGATAAAGAGTAATAGTCTTCTTCATAATTGATATGAGGATTAAAGGAATAATGCTCACTGGGTGCCTGTATCAGTAAATAAATGCTAATGTTTTTTGTCATTGTTTTTATTACTATTCTTGGGTCAAGCCAAATCTATAAGGAGTTAATTATCTTATCTAACCTATTGTCCTTTCTCTCTGCCCAGATTATTTTACTGAATGTTGCTATGGTGGGAAACCTTTAGCTTCCCCTGACCGTCAGTCTAAGAAGCAGCTTTTCAGAACCCACTGGGGCATTTACCGGAAGGAATGCTGTTCATAAGTTTACACAATGTTCCTTTTTATGGGGCCTCCAGGAGAAATCGGTGTCTGGTGTTAGTGCCAAACAGAGTCGTTCTTTTGAGCATTTGGTTTATTTTAAGCTTATGGATGGTAAATTACATAACCGACCGAGTTTCACTTTTTGAGTTGGCTGCTCGAAAGCTTACAGCCAGATCTATGGCTCATAGTAAGAAGTACTTCCATTATTATGGGATGCATTTCGAGCCTTGTTTCTGCATTTTGTATTGCCATCTTTGCTTTGCTTTTTTTCTTTTAATCCCTCTTTTATGTTATTTAAGTGTCCTTTTAAAATTTATCCTTGTAAATTGCCTTAAATTATTTCTGAAACAAGGTGAGGAATAGATAGATACATAGCTGTAGGTAGATGAAATATGGTTTTAAATAATTTGTCATAGTGCTTATATTTAAGAGAGGTTTAATTTTTATAAGAAGATACTTGTGGCATAAAATGAATTTTCCAATTGGTAAAATTTCAGACTTTGCAAGAAAGCGCAAGGAAAAAGTATAAGGTGGGAATGTTTTTGCAGAAAGGTGATTTGGGAAACTGCTGGAAGGGGAACCTCTGAAAGGTAGGCAGGTAGGCAGATGATGGCTCGGGTGGAAAAGTGCCTGTTGTATGACTGGATTGGTTAATTAACCATTATGTGATCCTCCAAGGTCAGCTTATAAAATTAATTTTCACCTTTCAAAGAGAAGGTAGGAAGAGGTTTAAAGCCATGGGCTCAGGAGTCAAACATCTGGATAGAAGTTCTAACTCTGCCATTGCCTTGAGCAACTTACTTGACTTCACAGTGCCTCAATCACTTCGTATATGAAATGGAGATGAAGGGCTCATGGAGTTGTCATGAGAATCAGAGGATGAGCTAGTGACGTGTTTAGAATAGTGACTGGAACTTAGCAGGAGTCAGTGAAACTCTTTGTACCTCTTCGCTTGAGTCCCTGGGTTTTTAAAAAGTTGCAAACAGTCCATTTTTTAAATGAATTGCATAGTAAGGTAAGTCAGATACTGGTGGGGCTGAGTACATAGCAATATTTATGACAAGTATGAATTTTAATAAAAATATATGCAGTTCATTAGATACATCATAGAATTCTAAAATCTATCAGGAGTATTTTATGGCAACTTCAGAGAAATGGTATGTTTCTCTTTCGTGGTCTTTCCAAACAAAGAGGAAATCAAAATTGCTGCTGGGAAATATTTTATCCTGTTATCATCCTAGATTTGTTCATGAAATGTTACACTATGAATAGCCTTTCTTGTCTTTTGCCACCAAAAAGCTACCATTTTCTTTCTTATATACATGTTGCATTTTCTTAGATCTACAATGAATGAAATGAACTGGTCAAATGGATTCTCTGAGAGTGTGGAAAATTTAAGACATGAATATGCCTCGCCTTTTCCCCTCTCCTTTCTCACTTCCTCCACTCCCTGTAATAAAGAGAATTTTACTTTTCTCTACTCAGTGCTTCTCCTTCCATCCCCATGTAATAATGTTCTATCATTGCCCCCGACTCTGGAGCATGAAATCTGAAGTTTGGGCGCGAAGACAATTGGCTGAAGATACAAAATAAAAGGAATCAGGTTTTTGTTTCCTGGCTCTTCTTGTTTAGAATCTGAATGATGGGTACAATAGGGCAAATGTAAAGAAAATTTTTAAAAGCCCAGAAACTAAGCAAATTTACATCATACGAAGCTGAGGGATATAGGTTGAGGAAGAGAGAGTCAGGAACTCTGTACGTGGGAGAGTCCATTTTTGATGTTTTTGTTTGTGCTAGAAAGCATAGGTCCTCAAATGGCTTTGGTTATGAGAGAATCAGGGAGGAAAGGAAAAAGGATGTTTGAGAAGTGTTGCTGTGTGGATTATAGGATCCTGTGTTACATTCTTTGAGCTACGCAATTAAAAATTGGCATTTGATTTTCAAGTTTTTGTTGCTACATTGTATTCCTTTAAGTATGACTGGGCTATCAGAGAACTGGGATTTATTAGGGTTACACAATCTTGTTCTCACAATCTTGAATGTAGCAAGTGTAGTCTACCTCAATAACACAAAATATGTTTTAAATTTATCATTGAGGTTTAGTGTGCATTCCATGATTATTAGTAATTTCAAAAGTATGACTTTTTCCCTAATTTCATTGCTTTTAGTTATCTTATTTACTTCTCCTGCTATCTGCGTCTAGGTGGTAAATAAACAAATGTTGCCACTCTCATTACTGAGAAAAAAAAATGATTGATTGTTGGTCTGAAAAACAAAACAAAAACCAAAAAAAATCCCGTACATCAAAAGACAACCCAGACACTTTGGTGAGAAATAAAGGAAAATTAGAGAAAGGTTTTCAGTTCTGTAGAAGCTGGAATGAAATAGAGTGTGCATTTTGGTGGCTAAAGAAGTGGAGTTCAGTGGAAGCTGCAAGCAGCCAGATAGAGATTTTGTTCAGGACCCTAAGGAGAGAAATGAGGACTGGACCAAGAAATAGAAGTACACTGGCACTGACATGAAAACAAAGGTTTATCACAGATCGGATTACTGAAGACTGAACTTCAGAAATGCATGGAAATGTTCAGGAATGAGAGAACACGGGAACGTGTATGTATTACATTGGGTTTCATTTTCTGTTTCTGTCCTTGCACTTACCTACTTGAATTCCCCAATATCTAATAGATTCATTCATTTTCCTTATCTCCCATCTTCAGCTCCTTAGCATGAGAGCATCATCTTTTGCTTGGGTAAAAGTACTTCCTAGCTGATCTCCCTGGCTTCTCTCTAGCCGTCTTCCAATCTGTCTTCAACTGTCCTGCCAAAGTGGATTTTAAATGGCACAAATCTGATCATGCCTCTTGTGGGAAAGAAATCCCACTGCTCTTAGTAGAAAGAGAAAAGATCCCCAGCGTGGCCCTCATGATCTTGCCTGATAATCACCTGCCTCTCTAACCTCATCTTCTCCTCCCTCTCTTACTTTATTCTCCAACTGCTTAAGCTGGGCCTTCTCCCTTCTACCACGTAGAGCTTCCCTCTCCCTGCCTTTAGTGAACTCCTTCCCACCCTTGAGCCTCAGCTCAGGTAGCAGTGCCCCAGAGACACCTTTTCTGACCCTTCTAATTCTCGAAGATGTCAACCCCCTCTACATTCTCATAGTATTCTGTACATTCATGCAAAGATCTTATTAGCTTGTAATTCTATGCTTATGTGATTATTTGATTCAAATTGCCTTGCCCCCTGGACTTTAAGCTCCTTGAAGGCAAGGACATTGGTTGTTTTACTTGTCGTTTTCCTACTGGTGCCCAGCAGAGACACGCACTTGATGAGCAGCACTCAGTTGATATTGTTGACTGAATGGATGGATAGAGACAGTTGGTCCTTTTTTTGTTTTTACTGAAATTAGCAAGAGTTTTTGGTCAACTTAAGCACCCTAGGCTCTTCATAGTTGCAGACGTACTGTGAAGGGAGAGTCTAATGAGTATTTAAGCAGGTGTCTGTCAGAAGACGGACCCTTCTTTCCTAAAATCGCAGCCACAGAAAAGCCAGAAGCACTTAAGCAGAGTCAATTCTGACAAAAAACCTTCAGTTCTGCTACAGAAGGCTTCTTTAGGTCTTTCATTTCTTATTATGAAAGAGTTCTCTTCTTGAAGGAAGCACTTCATCTGATGTTTAACTCTGACTGTGTTCTTGCCACTCCTAACTAATAGTAACATAGAAAGTGAATAGTAAAGAAACATTAATCCTCATACTTTCAAAAGACTGGCCAGGAATAAATCCCTTGGATTTAAAAACATATATCTTCCATCGATATTATCTACATTTACCTTTGATTACTTTTAATTTGTTGATTTTTGTCATTGAGCCTCTTCTTAACGCTTTTCAATATTTTGCTTTTAAGATATCTCGTATTATAACAAAATAGCTAATTTAGCAATTCATTAGGTTTGTAATTTAGCTACATGAGCCAAGCAGCTAGTTTTTGTTGACTTTATTTGATTATTTAGTAAATGAACAGTTATCACAGACAAGTATACAAGCTCAAAAGCTTTCAATTTCTTGCTGAAGTTGAACTATTGACCAGGTTATTTTTAGACTCAACAGTCTGGAATTTTTTTTCTACTTCTTAATAAAACAACAGATATTTTCACATTTAAAAGTTTCAGTAATTCTGCATGTACTGCCAGTTCAATTCTAAACTCTTTGCTGTGTCTAAACTCTTTTGCTGGGACCCAGGTAGTCCCAGCCTGAGTTCCTGATTCTCGTCTCCATTCTTGCCTTTTCTTTTTTCCCTCTTCCACTCCCCCGCCTCCTCCACAGGCTTGGATCTGTGAATTCATCATTCATTCCAGAAACACTTTGAGGTGCTTTTAAAATCCATGTTTAGGCCGGGCATGGTGGCTCAGGCCTCTAATCCCAGCACTTTGAGAGGCCAAGGTGGGTAGATTGCACGAGCTCAGGAGTTCAAGACCAGCCTGGGAAACATGGCAAAACCCCATCTCTACAAAAAAATACAAAAATTAGCTGCGCATGTTGGCACATACCTGTAGTCCCAACTACTACTTGGGAGGCTGAGGTGGGAGGATCACTGTGAGCCTAGGAGGTTGAGGCTATAGTGAGCTGAGACTGCACCACTGCACTCCAGCCTGGGTAACAGACACAGACCCTGTCTCAAAAATTAATAATAATAACAATAGTAATAATAGTACAAGTTTAGCATCTATAATTGGAATCAGAGCAAAAGTGCCAATATAGGAGTTAATGTCTCTTTCTTGGTGTAGTCCAAACGTAAACACTATTGGGCCAATATGGCAGCTCCCCTGTCCTAGGGACTTGGGTCTGTCTTGTCGCTCTCTTCTCCTGAATGTGCAGCTTTCTTCTCATTATAAATGGCTGTCCCAGCTCTCAGCAGTGACACATGACTTGGGTATTGGCACATACCATTTCTACATCTGCCCATTGACCAGAATCTAGTCCCGTGGCCATCCAAGTTGCAGGAGAAGCTGGGACATTCATCTTAGCCCAGCAGCCGATGTCTGTCTCTATTACTGTAAATGAAGTAAAGAATGGATCAGGAGGGGACAACTATGAATCTTTGTGATACCTACTATGTTTCAGTCACTGTGCTAAGTGCTAGGGATATAGAGATAAGTAAAGACTGAATCTGGTGGAGAACTGAGTTTAGAATGAGGACTTGGGGTAGATCCCTGTTGTCTGAAGATACCCTTCTTCGTATACACTATAGAAACACAATTTGTTCTGTGTATGTTCTGTATGTAACCTTCTGTGCTTTTGCATCTTCTGCCCATTGCCTGGGATCCTTTCTCCCTCGCACTTTCCACTGAATGCAATTCCGTCCATTCTGCAAGGCCAGCCCAAGTGTCCTCATCTTTGTGAAGGCTCTATTTTTCCTTCCAGGGATGGTTAGGAGTTGTTCCCTTGGCGTTCCCATTGCTCTGAAACACTGTGTTCTCTTTCCTCTGTTTTTTGAGATGGAGTTTCCGTCTGTCACCCAGGCTGGAGTGCAGTGGCATGATCTCGGCTCACTGCAACCTCTGCCTCTCAGGTTCAAGCAATTCTCCTTCCTCAGCCTCCCGAGTAGCTGGGATTACAGACATGTGCCACCCTGCCCAGCAGATTTTTGTATTTTTAGTAGAGACGAGGTTTCGTCATGTTGGTCAGGCTGGTCTCAAACTTCTGACCTCAGGTGATCTGCCCACCTGGGCCTCCCAAAGTGCTGGGATTATAGGCGTGAGCCACCCCGCCCAGCCTCCTCAGTTCTTATACGTGCCTAGAGGAATACATGGATTGTATTTTATTCATTTCATATCCCCAGCACCTTAGCACAGCACTGAGCAAACAGAAGGTGCTCTATAAATGTTTGCCGAATCAAATTAGTTAGTGCTTGGAATCCTTTTGTGGATTCTTGAATGACAAGGTGGGTGGAATATCTAATGAATGGGGGAATCTCTCTCATATTGTGTATAAAAATATCATAGTTAATAAAATGTTAAGTGAATTCCAAATCAAATTCAGAATCATAGAGGGGATAGATCATTTCCCCAGTGTTTTCATCTTATTCTAACTTTAAGCTAAATTTTTATTCTTTATTCAGTTATTCTAGTAAAAATGTGGTGATAGAGGTGATGAAGGGGCCTTAAGAAAAAACTTGAGGCCGGGCACGGTGGCTCACGCCTGTAATCCCAGCACTTTGGGAGGCCGAGGCGGGCGGATCACGAGGACTGGAGTTTAAGACCAGACTTCCTACCGTGGTGAAACCCCATCTCTACTAAAAATACAAAAATTTAGCCAGGCTGGTAGCGGGCACCTGTAATCCCAGCTACTCAGGAGCCTGAGGAAGGAGAATCACTTGAACCCAGGAGGTGGAGGTTGCAGTGAGCTGAGATCATGCCACTGCACTCGAGCCTGGGTGACAAGAGCGAAACTCTGTGTCAAAAACAAACAAACAAGCAAACAAAAAACAAAAAAAAACTTGAATTTGAATTATGTGTTCTTTTATATTACTTAGTGTTCCTCTCACTGAAGTTTCTTTAAAAAATCAAATTGAAGTCCTACCTACTTGGAATATATCATGTATGGTTCAGAAAATGGTGAGGGATTTTTTTTTTTTTCCAGGATGTACTTCAAGAGCCAATTTACAGTGTAATTCAGAAATTTTGTTTTACTCTAGGTTTCTGATTTAATCACTAAAGTGTCCTTATTTTCTGTCTATAGACTATGTTATTTTCCTTTTGGACCTTCAAATCCACAAAGGTTTAACTAGTATATGATAGGACCATAGAATTTTCACAGACTATGTAGATTATATAAGTTTCAGAGTTTAAATTATGCTATTGCTTATATTACTGATAAACAAAACATGGAATCATTTTGGGACCCAGTTTGTCAGTTAAATAAGGAGATTAAGGCAGAATTTTTTTGTCACCTCTATCAACCTCTTAGACTATTAATAATAATATAAAAGTGTTGCTTTAAATCATAGACTTTAAAGGCCAGGCATGGTGACTCACACTTGTAATCCTAGCACTTTGGGAGGCTGGGGCAGGAGAATGGCCTGGAGCCAGGAGTTTGAGACCAGCCTGGGCAACAAAGTGAGACCCCTGTCTCTATAAAAAAATTTTTAAAATTAGGCTGGGCACTGTGGCTTACACCTGTAATCTCAACACTTTGGGAGGCCAAGCTTGGCAGATCACTTGAGTCCAAGAGTTCAAGACCAGCCTGGCCAACATGGTGAAACTCCATCTCTACTGAAAAAAAAACAAAAAACAAACAAAAAAAAAAAGTAAAAGTAGCCAGGCATGGTGGTGCACACCTGTAGTCCCAGCTACTCAGGAGTCTGAGGCAGGAGAATTGCTTGAGCCCTGGAGGTGGAGGTTGCAGTGAGCTGAGGTTGTGCCACTGCACTCCAGTCTGGGTGACAGAGTGAGACTCTGTCTCAGAAAAAAAAAAAAAAAAAAAAATTAAGCAGGTGTGGTGGCATGCACCTACAATTCTAGCTACTTGGGAGTCGGAGGTGGGAGGACTGCCTGAGCAAGGCAATCAAGAGTTCAAGGCTGCAGTGAGCCATGATTGCACCACTGCACTTCAGCTTGGGCAGTAGAGTAAGACCCTATCTCAAAAAAGCCTTGAGAAAATACTGGTAAAGTGTTGAGAATTAATTGTCTTTTATTTTTCCAGGAGC
Organism: Homo sapiens; assembly: GCF_000001405.40. NCBI lineage: Eukaryota > Metazoa > Chordata > Mammalia > Primates > Hominidae > Homo > Homo sapiens. Next base: position 18,259,975 of record NC_000010.11, read on the forward strand.
CTAAAGGATGTAGTGGTGGTTAATCTGTGACATGAAATCATTAACATACCTTCTTAGGTCTCAACAGAATATGGAATGACTTGGGCATGGGTGCAAATTTGGATCAATATCTGTGACACACTAAAGATATTGCGTATTAGAATGGCTGATATCATACCAATGAACAGCTGAATCTCCACATGTCTTAATGATTCATCTTTTTAGGTGTGACATTTACATGGTCTTTAGGGAGAATATTAGGATCAGCTCAGTCCCTGAAAACTGGGTCTTTAGGGAAAGATCTAAATAATAGCTTACAAAGAATATTGACTTGGGAGCTCTCACACTTGGAAGGCAGCCTTATGTAGTTTATTATATCTAAATCATAGGTGGTATGAGATCTAATGAATTAATGAGGTCTGAGTCGGATCAAATTCGCCTTCCAGAGTTATGTTTATTTAACATGCTTTAACCCAGAAAATGAACATTTGCCAGCGAGCACCAAACAACTGTGCGCCGCAGTGCTTGAGCGAGTCAGGTCCTGAGGCCACTCTGGCGATCCTCCTTACAATTCATGTGAAATACCTACTGCAGGACAAAGCATCTGACGGTTTGGAGGATGTTTCTGTAGTCCTAGGAATCCACAGTGAATTCGAGTCTAGACTCAGTCATTTTTCAGGGTCAGGGGAGGAGGGAGAAGTAGCAAATCAGATATGCCCAAAACGTTACAGAGGTAACAGTGAATCCAGGATGCTGCTGTCAGCCTGTGCATTGTGAAGAAGGCAATCATAGGCGAGCAGCCGCGGGAGCAGGAACAGCAGCGTGCTAAGAAGCAGTCACATAAACAGCAGCAGGAGTAGGCCTCCTGCTTTTCAAAAGCAGAGTACTGCAGGGTCGCGAAATGCAAGACACTCAGATGTTTGAAAATCTCCCGAGTTGAGAATGGCTACTGTAAAAGCGTCACCAAGAAACTCTGACGATCTGGACAGTCCTAACTCTGTGTTAGCAATACTTACTTCCGGAAAATTAATGCTACTTCTTGTAGATTTTTGCAAATAGGAAACCCCCTTGAAGAAGATCTCAAATTACGCCCCCCACCCCCAAAAAAAGACAAACAGGGGAGAACAAAGTTTTGGCATGCCTGCAGGAACGGTGGCTTTTTTAGAAACTACCTAGGAGGCAGAAGCTAAGTGATTTGCTCATGCCTCTTACCTGGGAGTAGAAGGTGGGAAGAAATGGACCGAGGCTGTGACGAGAAGACAAGGCACAGTGCAGCTTGGTGAAGCCACACGCTGACTGCGTTCTGCCCCCTCTTCATGCAGTGCTGCGGGCTGGTGCATCGCCGGCGAGTACGGGTGTCCTATGTAAGTTTCTATTGCTGTAGAATTGCAGCTGGGAGCTGAAAATACTATTCGTGTCTGTCTGGTGCATGTTGCCTCTTTCAGCTGTTTTTATTCCCTGTGCTGAACCAACCAGACAGTCGATCATTTCGTACCATGAGTTTTCAAGGAATCTGAGGTATAGGAGATTCTGAGATATTTATTTTTTCCCAGAGATGTTTTTATCTGTCTTTTGTGCCTTGTGACTTTGATAAGGTTGGAAATAACTTGCGCGGGGATTGGTTTGAGAAGTCCATTGTCTCAGAGATCTGCCTCATTCAAACCAGTTGATACTCTCTTTTACCTAGAGTAGTCCTGTTTTCATATTTGAATGATGGGATGGTGGGGGGAAGAAATACCACGGAGTTTGACAAATTATAGATAGGCGCAGAGGCTAACACTAAATCCTATTTTGAGCAGCTTCAGAAAAATAGTAGATAATAATCACTGGATGGATGACACAGCTGTTGCAACAGCTTTATCATCCTGTGACTCTTTCACTGAAATAGCCCTTATTTCATGGCCCTGCTGTGTTTTGCAAAATGGCTGTCTGAGTATTAAATTCTACAAGGCAGGCTCACACAAATATTGAAGTGTATCACTACTTAACATGATTGGATGCTAATTGCAATATGCTGTGCCTTACACTAGCCGACCAGCTCCGAGCAAGCGCTGGCTTGATTTTCATACTCCTTTTGCGAGCAGCTACTCTATTTTCAGGAAGGGTTGTAAAAGGGAACAGGAGGTTTATGCAGGCTGGGCAAACTGCAGTGCTGAATTGCTTAACACTGGTTTGACATTCCTGACTGCAAAACAAATAGAAAATTGACAAAGCAAGCTAATCAATACTTAAAGTATTGAAGGTAAAGAAACCCGTGACCTTGGAAAATTGGCCACAGAAAAGAGATATATGTGAGACTTACAGGACAAACAAGGTCAAAATCTGATATGATCTCAATAATAAAGTTGGAAATGGTGACGGGGTGGGGTGGGAGGGCAGGGAGAGATAACTATACTGTCAAACCTTAAAGAGAGTATTCAATTTTATTAAATAAGTAAAAGCATGAAAAACCCCTTTTATTTAAAGGTTTTTGCAGTTGTTACATATTTGGTGCCATTTGTCTTTTGAATGCAACAGTTGACATATCAGAAATCAATGGAGGAGTCAGGTAGCCAGCCAAGATTTCTAAAGACGACATCTGCAGGGATAGATGGTTTTTATCCAGTCAAAAAATTAATTGCTTTTTAAATAAGATTTGGGAATAAGTGTTACAAACTTTTTAGAGTATAAGATTAGCCGCCTAAAGAAAACCTTAAGTTAAAAACAAAAATAATTTTAATTTAAAAATCCATAGTTTCTAGAATAGTGAAGAGTGAGAATTTCTTAGCTTTCTGTGTTTCTGTTTATTCTTGTATAATGAATTAGAAGAAATCCATGGTTATGTGTGCCTATTGAATACAAAAATTCTGAAATAAGGCCTCCAACAAAGCAACAAATTTTTACCCTACTTATTTTAGTTCTTCTTCTTACATTGAACATGTAAATAAATAGAAAGAAGAGACAACATAATCTGGATTTTTGAAGTCTTGATTGAAAGCTACAGAGACTTGGTTCATCTGCTCATTCTCAAATATTTTTACCCTGTATTTTGAATAAAGTACCACAAAATATAGAGCACAGATGTCTTTTAAAGATAAAAGAAATGCATACCCTTGGTCACTAGAAATAAATTTTCGTTTACTTTAGAGTGTTTTTCTCTTGGGAAGCCTTACCTCTAACCCACCTGCTGCTGTTTTAACCTCTCTTCTTTGACACTTTATGGATTGCAGTTTTCTTTACAGATGGCCAACCCAGAGTGGAAGATAGGTTAAATCGAAACCTATTTTTTTCCTTGAAGGAAAAGAACCCACTGTGCATCTATCTGTAACGGAGACTTTAGATTTGACCGCAAAGCAGATGAGTCTAGAGGCTGCTCATTGAATACAAAGGGCAGCCAGACCCCTATGTGGTACTGGTGGTTAGGACCTCGTCATACTGGTTGGGCTGTCCTGGTGTCCTTTCTCAAATCTGTTGTCAGTTTCCAGGAATCACAATTCTGGTAATACTGGAACTAAATGTCAATATTTATATACATACATGTATGCATATATCTGTTAGATCTAATTACATAAATAATATATTTTAGATGTAATATAAATCAATTGATAAATATGCACCTGTGTGTGCATGTGTCTTAATCTTTCACTAGTTCTTATACCTTTTCTTTTTAGTATGACAGCTTTCTTAAGAATTCCTCCTACTCAAACATTGTCTCTCAGAAAGAATATGAAAGTTATGTGGGTTTCAAAGAAAGTTATACTCATATGCCATAGTTCTTTATTTCTAGGTTTTTACCTTTCTAAGCTGTTGCTTTTATTAGGTTGCCTCCGCTCACTTGTTTAACGTTACATTCAGATTCAAAACTTCTCTGAGCAGTGGGCTCACAGAAGTAGGCTGCAGACTGTAGTCCTGTCTTGCTCTTTAAGACTCAATGCATAAGCTTTATTCTTGACATTATTATTGATGTTCAATATCTAGTCTTCATTCTTTTGTTTACTCCTAACCATCATTCTTTTAGAACTCAGCTTCGCAGCTCAGAAGTAATTCCTGTGTTTACCTAAACTGTCTTGCTATTTCGTTAAGGACATGAAAATCTGTGAGCTGAATAAATACTCTTAAATTTAAAAGGATATATAAACATGGTAAGCTCTGTGTGCATTTCTGTGAAACACTTCTCAAGTATTGACATTTGCATGCTTTGGAGAGCAGAGACACTAACTCTTTTTGGTAAGCTTTTTGAAAAAATGTTTTAATTTTTGTGGGTACATAATAGGTGTATATATTTATGGGGTACATAAGATGCTTGGATACAGGTATGCAATGCATAATAATCTCATCATGGAAAATTGGGTATCCATCCCATCAAGCATTTATCCTTTGTGTCACAAACAATCCAATTATACCCTTTTAGTTATTTTAAAATGTACTATTATCGAAGTATAACATACATGCAGAAAAGTGGGTGCAGAAATTATATAAGCATTGAGCTTGAAGAATGTTCTCAAAGCAAACATGCCTTTGTAACCAACACTCAAATCAAGAAACCAAGCATTGTGAGCAACCTTCTCCTCCCTTCCAATTCCAGCTGTCTCCCACCTCCCCCAGGGTACCCACTAAACAGACTTCTAACATGGTGGATTGGTTTTTCCTGTTTCTGAATTTTATTCAAATGAACTCAAACAGCATGTACTCTCCTCTCATCCAGCTTGTGTTGCTCACCATTGTATTCATGATATTAACCCACGTGGCTGCACATAGTTAAAGCTGCAATTTCTCGTGCTCACGGTTGTACAGTATTCCATTGTGTGGCTCTGTGATGACTTAGTGATCCATGCTACTGTTGATGGGCATTTGGGTAGTTTCCAGTTTGGGGCTATCATAAATAGTGCTGTTATAAACAGTTGGGACATGCCATATTGTGAATGTTTATGTATGCATTTCTCTTGGATGCAAACCAAGGAATGAAACTGCCAAGTCATAGGGTACAGTATAAATACATTGTGCTTAAGTAGATGCTGGTCAGCAGCTTTCTGAAACATCGGGTCAATGTTCACTCCCACCTGTGTGCCTCCCCCCTACACCTAGTATTGTCATTTGCATTTTAGCGTGTCTGATGAGTATGTCAGAGTATCCCATTATGGCTTTGCTGTGCATTTCCCTGATAACTAATGAAGTCAAGCATGTTTTCATATATTTATTGACCATTTGGCCATCTTCTTTTTTTTTTTTTTTTTTTGAGATGGAGTCTCACTCTGTTGCCCAGGCTGAAGCGTAGTGGCACAATCTCAGCTCTCTGCAACCTCCACCTCCCGCATTCAAGCCTCAGCCTCCTGACTACAAGTGCCCGCCAATTTCACGCCCAGCTAATTTTTGTATTTTTGGTAGAGACGGGGTTTCACCATATTGGCCAGGCTGGTCTTGAAATCCTGCCCTTGTGATCCGCCCACCTCAGCTTCCCAAAGGGCTGGGATTACAGGTGTGAGCCACCACACCCGGCCATTTAGCCATCTTCTTTTGTGAAGTACCTGTTCAAGTATCTTGCTTCTTTTTGTCTTAGGTTATCTGTCTTTTCAGGCATTTTCCTTCAGAAAAGAACTGGCAAGGAGAAAAGCATCTGGTGATTAGCATAACAAAATCATTAAAGACAAATGTTACTGACAGAGATATATACAAATGGAATCAGACTTAGCCTGGGTTTGAATTTTGATATAATCATTTACTTACCGTGTGATAGTGGGGTTCTTTTCTTTCTTTGAGTCTCGGTTTTCTCACCCATATAATCAGGATAATAGTAAAATTTCAAAAGTTTATTGTGAGAGTTAAGATGAAATAATGTTTGTGTGCACTTACTTCTGGCCTGATACGTAGTTGTTTTTGAAAAATGAGTAGTTATTGTGATAGGAGATCATGAAGCAGGGGAGTTTGCTGTCTACTTGGTTGCTGCCTGTGTTAGTTGCTAACTACTAATAGTCTTGAAAAGCTTTTATTAATAAATGACTAGATACTGGAAGGTAATGTAGTCCACATGTTAGTAATCTCTTATAAGATCCACACTTTCCATAGTGTGTGATCACCTTTGAGCTTTTAGAGCATTTAAATGTCACCAAATGATATTGCATTTGTATATATACCGTAACTTAAGCAATTCGGTACTCTAGTTAAATTCTGATTGTTCCAACGCACATTTACATAGTTCTTCAAAGTTTACAAAATGCTTTTATGCCCACTATTTCATTTGACATTAAAGCAGTCACTAGGGATAGGCAAAGGAAGTGATGATGTCTTCATTTTATAGATGAGAAAATTTCAAACCAGGGAAGTAAACTGTACTGCCAAAGGCCACAGAGTCTGAGGATGGTCAAACTGAGATTCAAGCTGAAATTGACTCTTATTCCATGTATAGTGCTTTGGTCATCTTGTTTGGAATGTCTTTCCAAGTTTAAATAATGGGATTATAATTAAATTTAATTAACATGAAAATGTTGTAGTGCTTTTGGGTATAAAAATCAATTATCACTGGGCTAGAGAAGTGCTGAAGTGCCTGTTCACAGAGATTTCTGGTTAGTAGAATGTAGGTAGTATAGTTTTTTTTTTTTAATTGTGGTTGTTCACTCACAATTCATACTTTTTACAAGTGATCAGAATTGTCCCGACAGTTAAAATAAGTGTGAGCGGGCCGGGCACGGTGGCTCACGCCTGTAATCTCAGCACTTTGCTAGGCCGAGATGAGCAGATAACTTGAGGTCAGGAGTTCAGGACCAGCCTGGACAACAGGGTGAAACCTCGTCTCTACTAAAAATACAAGAACTTAGCCGTGCGTGGTGGTGCATGCCTGTAATCCCAGCTACTCGGGAGGCTGAGGCGGGAGAATCACTGGAACCCCAGAGGTGGAGGCTGCAGTGAGCCGAGATCGTGCCACTGCACTCCAGCCTGGGAGACAGACGAGACTCTATCTCTAAATAAATAAATAAGTATGAGCTATACACTTATATATGCCTTGGGAAATATATTTGCACAGTAAATGATTTTTAAAGGCATGTGTGTATGTATGTGTGTATATATACTATGTGTGTGTGTGTATATATGTGTGTGTGTGTGTATGTATATATATCTGTCTCCTTAAATCACTCAGAGCTTTTCCAGATAATGTCTTAAGATGTCCTTTAAGGGTGATATTTGGCTTTTAAGACCTCTGTATCTTTGAATGTCAAGTTCATATATGTATTTTCGTAAGAAATTGATAACTTCATATTTGGAACTGCATTTTTTTTTTATTAATAATAGCTTTTAATATTGGCCATGTTAAAATCCTTAATTTTTTTCAGAACTTTAAATTTGGCTTTAATTATAAACCTCACTACATAATGACATTTTATTAAAATTAAATAAGGGGCTGGGTGTGGTGGCTCGCTCCTGTAATCCCAACACTTTGGGAAGCCAAGGTGGGCAGATCACTTGAGGTCGGGATTTCAAGACCAGCCTGGCCAACATGGTGAAACCCCATCTCTACTAAACATACAGAAATTAGCCAGGTGTGGTGGCGGGCACCTGTAATCCCAGTTACTCAGGAGGCTGAGGCATGAGAATCACTTGAACCCAGGAGGTGGAGGTTGCAGTGAACTGAGATCACACCACTGCACTCCAGCCTGGGTGACAGAGTGAGACTCCATCTCAAAAAAGAAAACAAAAAAATAAAAAGGGAAATGAGGTAAACTTTCATATAAACATTAAGAAGCACAGAGGCGGGAAAATGAAATTAAGTTGGTGGTTGGCAACCTCTGGGCATGTGTAGAGAATGAGCTTGTTGGTGCATGTTCAGGGTCATGGGACCCTCTGGTTGCCTTAGCATCTCCCAGCACAGCCCCAGTTAACACCTATCACTTTTTCTTCCCATTGGAGAGGCAGTTTCATGTGTGAATGACACTTCCGGGGCAGCGGCCCAGCCTTTGCACACCAGAGAAGCTCCTGCAAGTTACTTCATCACTCTGTGCCTCAACTTGCCTTTCTATGAAACAAGAATAATAAGAGTCTTACTCTTAAGTTTTCTATGATTATTAAATGTGTTAAACTATGAAAACACTTGGCACGGAGTAAGTACTCAAGTAAATGTGAACTGTTTCAATTGTGATTATTCCCACCTCCCTCTGCATCTGAGTACAACTTCTCCAGTGCTGAAAAAGAGCAGTCCCTTTTAGAAGGATGCCTTCATTGTTTTAAAGAAAGCTCTTGTAAAGCGTATTGAATTATGTAGGAATGTAGTGGTCATCATCTAACTGTTCATTCATGAAGCAATTACTGAGTCCCTGCTCTTTGCCCAAGGCTATTCTGAAAGTTAGAAATGTACAGAGGAATTGAACCTTTCATCTCTGTTCTCAGAAAAGTCTAGTCTAGCAGTGGAAATATATGAGTTTCCGGAACATTAAAATGTGTTTGACATAACAGGATTATCTGACAATAGGAATAAATAAATGGTATACCACCTATAGTAGGAAATAGCATATAGACATTAAAGAGAAAAGGCTAGATTTGTATAGACTTACGTAGAAGGAGGTTTATATTCTGAGAATACGTTATATAAAAATTAAGACGTAGAGCAATGTATATAGTATGATTGCATTTATTCTACATGTGTTTGCATTTATATTGGTGTTTGCATGAGTAGAGGTCTAAAAGACTTTACCAGTATACGAACAGCACATGAAAATGAGATTATAGAGGAACAGGCAGGATTTTACCTTTTACATCATTAAGTATGTTGCAATAAGTATGTTTTAATTTAATAATACATATTTAATGTGACAAATGCCTTAAAATTAATTTATCCCTCACCTTTTCCCAGAAAGGCTTATAAAATTTAAATATGTTATCTCCTACCTCACTAGAAAACACTCAACCTGAAATGCATTGAGCAAAAGTAATTCATAAATGGAGGAGTCTACTGATTGAGAAATTGTCATATGTACTCAAAGTATTTTGGAATAAAGAAGGGCAAGGTCTGGCCTTCTTCTTGATCAAGAAGTGTCTCATAGCAGCACTGCTATGAGCTCCCAAATGTCCTTTAGGTCTGGCCTTCATGAGATGTTATATGTGGAGGTGCTTAACTGTGGGTTAGGGTTAAGTCCTTTGCTTTGCATGATAAGAACCTGTTTCACGAAGGGTGATCAAGTCCTACTGAGTTGATTTGCACTGTGGTACACCTTCGTTGCTGGCAGATTTCCTAAATAAATAAAGGTCAGAAGGAATATATGAGATCTAAGCAGGTGAATTTACATCATCTTAAGAGATATTTCCATTAATTTGTGCTAGCCTACTGAATTATCATCCGTCACTAAAGATACACACAACTCATGATGGTCACATGGTCACATCTGTTAGACATGGCCCCATCCCACTGTCTAAAACACTTTTCCCTTCACTTCTGTGATACCACATTCTCCTGTCTCCATTTTTTTCTTCCTATTTCTCCTAATCTACATATGATATATTCAATGTCTTGCCATATTGCTATTCCTTCAGGTGGTCATGAGTCCATCCTCAACTCTAGAGAAGCTGGTGAATGGTAACATAACATTTGAGGAATGCTCAAAAGAAAGAAAATCTGAAAGAAAATAGACCTAGAAAAAATGGCTAGAGAAATTGAAGTTAAACTTTTCTGCACATACGCTGATAGCTACCAAATCAATATGCCCAGCCCAGATCTTTCTTCCAAGTTTTAGACCCATATTCAAAAGTTTCCAGACATCTCTATTTGGAAACTCTCCAGGCACTGTAAACATGGTTATACAAGACTGAGCTCCATCCTTGCGGTCCTGTTCCTCCCTCTCTCTGCTCCTCCCTTCCACTCTCCCACCACTACTTATATCTACTCCTCATTTACTGGTTAGATTAAATGACACTTTTATACTCTCCATTGTCCAAGCCAGAAACATGGTCCTGTCCCTCTTCTTTACTTTCTGATCCATTCAATCATGTTCGATCATTGCTACTTCCTTGAGAGCTCTGGAATCTTTTCTTTCTATTCCACCTATCTCCATCCTAGTGCAGGCTGTTATTTTCTTCCCCAGTTACCACAGTAACTGCAGTAGTCCATTCTCACCCTGCTGTAAAGTAGTACTCAAGACTGGATAATTTATAAAGGAAAGATGTTTAATTGACTCACAGTTCCTCATAACTGGGTAGACCTCAGGAAACTTACAGTCATGGCAGGAGGCAAAGGAGAAATAAGGACCTTCTTCACGTGGCGGCAGGAGAGAGTAGAGAGCAAAGGGGGAAGAACCCCTTATAAAACCATCAGATCTCATAAAAACTTACTATCATAAAAACAATGTGGAAGAAACTGCACCCATTAACCAGTCACCTCCCACTGGGTCCCTCCCTCGACAAGGGGGGATTATGGGGATTACAATTCCACATGAGATTTGGGTGGGGACAAAGCCAAACTCTATCAGCAGCCTCCTAACTGGTCACCCCATCTTAGTCTTCATCCTTCAACAATCCATTCTCCACATTGGAACTGCCATTGTGATTTTTTTTCAAGAGCAATCATGGTATTTCTCTGCTTAAAGCCCCCAGTTGGTTCCCATTTTCTGAGAATATGAGTGCAATCTGAGCAATGTTGCTATGAGACACTTCTTGATCAAGCCACTGCTTGTCTCCTTAGCCTTAATTCTCAGCACCTTCATCCTCTGGAGTCCCCCAGTGGCATTGAATTTCATACAGTTTCCTAACAATCAACACTCTTTTATTTGCCTGTGCTCCTCCACAGAGGCTGTTCCCTGGTCTCGGTTAGGTATCCTTGCTTTTCCCCTATCATAACACTTACCCTACCTTATCCTAATTATCCCTCTAGTTGTCTGCCCATCTTAGAACTTAAGTTTCTTTCATTCCCTTTTTGATTGTTGTATCTCTGTTGCCCAGCAAGAATGCCTGGCCTCTGACAGACACTCAAGACGTAATGGTTGAATACATATATACATAATGCTGGGGAAATATCAAATTTTTACTCTTTCACTACTACCTCTTTATTCCTACTTGTCATTATAATATGTCGTTTTGGGGGATGGGGGTAATGCTCTCAGTCAGTCTATGAAGCTTCCCCTAGATACTTCATTGATTTATGTGATATATGTGAAATTTACTGTATACTTGTGTGTATAAACACACATACACAGAGCTTTGTGATGGTATAAGTGTTCCTTGGTCTCATCAATATGCAGAAAGTAGAAGAGAAATTTGGTTGATATGCATAAAGTAGAAGAGAAATTTGGTTGCTACAGTTTGCAACTATGTAATCATTTCCTCTTTTGGCCTCTTTTCCCGATTTAGATGATATTCCTTGTATTTCTTTTAAGAATATAAAGCAAGAAGCAGCTTATTTACCCATAACAAGGACCTACTGAAGTGCAGAGGAGATCTAAGTTCTGATTGAAAGCACGAAATTGACTAAAAGCCACAAACTAACTTTGTTTTAAAACAGCAGTTACAAAAGTAGGTAAATATGTTTAAAAACAAAAACATATTTAAAAACAAAAACCTATCTTCAAGCACAGCCATTTAAAAATAAAAACACCACCAGATTATTTAAAGCCTTGAGTTAAGGGCTTTAATGGCTATATGTATGGAAACCTTCCCTAACATCTTTATCATATATAAAACAAGCAGCTCCTATTTTAGGAGATGTGTCCTTCCTCCTTCCTTCTCCCGGTGGCAGCACAGGCAGGTAGCCGTTCTCTGAAGCAGCCTTTTGTGTTGTTGGTTTAGAGGCTTTCATTGCCCGCTAACCTTTCTGCTGAATAGATCTGTTTCCCATTGAGCCAGACTCCTGTGTGTGTTCTCTTCCTTGGTATTACATTGAGATAACAGCCAATTCTCTTCTGTTTGAATCATCAGAAGTAGCTTTATTTTTTGTTTATTGGGGTTTTTTTCTTCCTTGCACTTTTGTGATGAGCAGGTCACCATTCTCCTCCATACCACCAAAGGAATAAATAATTTATGTAACCTACCCTGATTTCCAAACAATAAACCTGAATAAAGAGAGTAAGGGACAAGGGTTCTGTTGTAATTTCCATCTCTTACCATTTTTTTCTTTCTTCCTTTCTTTTTTCTTTTTTTTTCTGGAGGGAGTAATATTTCCAGTGAGTCTGTGAAGCTTCCCCAGAGTGTCCCATTGACTTCTCTATGGTAGTTTCATTATTGGGTGAATCAGTTTTTTCTTTGGAGCAGATATGATATTATGAAACAATGTGATAGCTATTCGAAAGAGTGGATCACAATCTTTTTTCTACAGAGAGGAGTGGGACATAGTTCTAATTAGAACAAAGGCTTCTTAATGACTTTCAAGGCTCGTAGTTAAGGGAGACAGGGCAAGATGTCAAGGAATGGTGAGCTAAAAGAATCTACTTGGAAGATGTGGGATCTCTCCCTTCCTCTCCCCCAAGGTTCTATGCCTCTATATTCATAATTACCCTCCAAAAAACTTCAGAGAGGGTGGATAATATAATTCGGTGGTACATACTAGAAATCACCTCTTTCTAATTTAAAAGATAGAATTTATTGGAGGTTTGTAGCAATGCTGCTGATATGGTTTGGCTCTGTGTTCCCACCCAAATCTCACCTTGAAGTGTAATAATCCCCACGAGTCATGGGAAGGACCCGGTGAGAGGTAATTGAATCATGGGGGCAGATTTTTCTCATGCTGTTCTCATGATAGTGAACAAGTCTTACAATATCTGATGGTTTTATAAAGGGGAGTTCCCCTGCACAAGCCCTCTTATCCGCCGCCATGTAAGATGTCCCTTTGCTCTTCCTTTGCCTTCGGCCGTTGATTGTGAGGCCTCCGCAGCCATGAAGAACTGTAAGTCCATTAAACCTCTTTCTTTTATAAATTACCCAGTTTCAGGTATGTCTTTTTTAGCAGCATTAGAATGGACTAATACAGCTTCTTAGTGTGTACTTTGGGTCACTAGCGTTAGGATTCCCAGGGATGTTGGTCCCCAAAAAAATGCAGATCTCTGGGAACCATCTTAGACTCATAGACTCTGAATCTCAGGGATGGATCCTGATAATTTAATGTTTAATAATCTCTCAATGTGACTTCATTGTGCATCACTATTTTTTGAGGGCTACTGGCCAACAGCAGAGCTATGGAAGGAAAGCTGAAGGTTGGATCAGGGCTGCTCTGAGAATTTCAGTATTGGGAACTGTGGCTGGGCTCCTTGGAGTCTATCTTTTGAGGTGAGTCAGCTCACCTCAAGTCAACTGGTGTCAAGTGTCTCAAGGTTCAAGTTCCTAGGAGAGGGGATCAGAGTGACCTGGCTTGATCTCCCCAGGTCAGGAGAGGGGAGGGCTACTTGATCGGCTCTCTCACCATGCTTACAGACAGTGGAGGACGAAGAGGATTTCCCTGAGGAAAATCCAAGTGCTGTTTTCCAGAAAACAAAACAAAACAAAAACAAAACAAAAAAAAAAGAGGGAAATGGATCCTGGGCAGATAAAAACCGCATTTTTTTTTTGCACATACACAGAACTTTATGATACCATTTTTAAAAGTGAACCATGCTCTCCTGTGGTGAAAGCTTAGAAAGTGAAGAATTAACATATTTAAGCTTAGCAGTGCTGATGTTCCTCATTACATAAATGGGGATTATGGAAATGGTGGCTAATAGTGATGGAGTTTACAAGGAAACATCCAGAATTCAAAATACAGAATTGCCTTTCCAGTAGGATTTGTACCTGGCAAAAACTTGCAGAGTAGGGACTCAGTATTTGAATTAATTTAAGTAGTCATGGCAAAAAGATTTTACTCAGATATTCAGTAAGTATTGGCAACTTACTGAATTATAATACTGAATTATAGTAGGAGCTTGCAGAATTGACTGAGCAACACTTTGAAGAACATATTTATAAAATAGCTAAAATGAAATACCACATACTCTTTCATTCCTTTCAAGGTACAACTTTAACTACTAGATCCAGTTCATACCGTTTGTTTCTTCTTGTTGTTGGAATTTCTTCTTGTTGTTGTTGGAACCACAGGTCTGAACAAACACTGTTCTGTTGAATATCTAGAAGGAAAGACACAATTTGGATTTTGCTTTTCCAGAAAGTTCCACTCCTTGGGGGTCCTACTAACCTCTAACTTTGACATCATTATGGATGCTGCAGAAATAAGTCGGATGTCCTGGGCGCAATGGACTACATTGTGAAGCCTGTTGGCAACTTCCCTTATATAAGGTTAATTCGGGTGAAATAAATCAACCCGACTACTTATTTTGATGAAAATAAATGTCAGTCCAGAAAAAAAAAGAGGAGAGAGAAGGCACCTGCAGTGGAAAGGAATAAGAAAAGTATCTTGCAAACTGTTCAAACTGTAAGTAACTATCAGCACCCCTCAGCACCATTTTTATCTGAAAGAACACTGCAAATATCTTAAAAAGTGACTTAAGGTTGTGCAAGAAGCTTCCTCAACTTACTCCTGAACGCCTGCCTCTCAAATCTGAATATGGCAGCAGGACAGAAAGACCCTAGAATTTCTCACCTTGTATGTAAGCACTCTAAGCAAGGTTTGCCTATGAATTTTTGTTTGATTAAAGATGGGTGAAGAGAGGGTCAGAACTTCTCTATGTCACGACCTCTCTTCCTTCAGGGTTGTACATGTTTTAAAAGAGAAATCCACAATTTTTTTTTCTCATATAGTACACACCTTCACTTAATTTAGTCTTATGGCTTTAAAATGTATTATTTTAAATAACCTTTGGTCAATCCTCCTCAAAGCACCAATTTCATAGGATTTTCATTTCTGAACTATAGTTACAACATGCTTATAACCATTTAAAAATAATAGGATTCTTATTTCTATGGACCAAAAAAACACTTAAAATTTCAAAATGAATCCCCGCTTCAAAGGGAAAAACCATCAGGGCTGGAGGGTCCTTTTCTGATTTTTCATTTTTTTCTTCTCTGTATGATTTCTTATTACACAGTTTTATTTTTCCAATGAACTTAACTCTTGAGCCATGATTGACACTACAATCAGATTAAAGGATACTCTTTTAAAAGACACTGATTTGGACTCTACTCCACAAAAAAGGAGATGAAAGCTGGCTTTTTCTGACTTGATTGGCTGTTCTGTGTTTACCTTTTTAATGTCCTTGATGAGACAGGTGTTTCTCATGGCATTTTATGCAGTCAGTCAGTCAACCGGGATTTCACTCTGACAGCTGTGCTCCATCGCTATCTGGAGAAAATGGCAGCAGCTCAGAGTTCCTACAGATACCCCTGTGATTTGATTTCCAGCTATAGACTTTCGTTTTCTGCCAGGCCTCTGATGGGTCAGATTTAAGTACCAATGTGCCATCTAAATACTAGCTTTCTG
This sequence comes from Homo sapiens, assembly GCF_000001405.40. Lineage (NCBI taxonomy): Eukaryota > Metazoa > Chordata > Mammalia > Primates > Hominidae > Homo > Homo sapiens. The sequence continues at coordinate 18,275,306 of NC_000010.11, forward strand.
AACTCATTTCCCAACTTTATCCTGTTAATGCCAAACTTCTTTATGAAGGGGGAAGGTTAGCTTCGTAATAAGGGGATAGATACAAGAGACTCCATACACACGTGGTTTTGAATATCAGCTTCTAGGAGCTGATGGAAGAGTATGCACAGAATATTAGTCTCATATTAAGCATCAGGAAGAATAGCTAGTGGATGCTGGGCTTAATACCTAGGTGATGGGATGATCTTTGAAGCAAACCACCATGGCACACGTTTACCTATGTAATGAACCTGCACATCCTGCACATGTACCCCTGAACATAAACTAAAAGTTGAAGATTTAAAAAAAGAAAAATAAAATTTATTTTTCTAAAAAAAGAAAGTTTCATATTAAATGAGTGGCTCATGAAGAAAATAAAATTGGATTTTATTCTCCCATGCAACTCATCATGGTTTTAAAAATTTATTCTTGTTAAATAATGGCTCTGTGTTTTGTAAACTGCATAGAATAACACAATCAATGTTTTATTAATAGTTTCTAAATTACCATGCAGACCACAGAAGCTCAAGATTTTAAATTTTGAAGTAGGACTTTACTATCAGTTGTTATTAGTAATTTGAACCAATTTCTCTGGTTTCAAAATACGTTACTTAATTGCCACGAGAGTGGTGAAACTTTGTTCAGATTTAATGAGGAAATTCTGGTTCAGCTTTTCTTTATTCCTTGTCTATCTTTCATACATTTCAACATGTCAAAGTATTAACATATATTTTATAGTAATCTCAAATAATAACTAATCAATAAATACAGAACATCTCTGTACCATGCAACAATTTCAGTTTCACATGATATAAAAGATTAGAACTGTTACAGACTTTGGGCAAAAGTGGTGAGCTCAGACAATTTCACGATAAATTAAACTTAGAATCAAAGAGTGAAACCAGAATAAGCAACGTTAAGAAGTGGATGATCAGGCCAATCTTATTGGAAACGTCAATCGTGTACTTGCTAACCTACAGCCTTCTACTACATGAAGCTGCCCAACTCACAGTCACTGCCAAATGGCAGTTCTGTATATACAAACTACATGGACGGCACCCTCACCCCACAAACAAGCAGCCAAAATGTATTCGGTTGAGCACTTTGACTTAGGAATTTGAATGGAGAATTCACAGTATCACTTAGCAGTGGAGCAGGAGCTGAAAGATTACCATATGAGAATTAAAGTCATAGAGGGCTGGATACAGTGGCACGCACCCAGCTCTGTAATCCCAGAGCTTTGGGAGGCCAAGGCAAAAGGATTTTTTTTTTTTAAGATGGAGTTTTGCTGTTTGCCCAAGCTGAAGTGAAGTGGTGTGATCTTGGCCCACTGCAACGTCTGACCCCCAGGTTCAAGCGATTATCCTGCCGCAGCCTCCCAAGTAGCTGGGATTATAGGCATGTGCCACCACACCCGGCTAATTTTTGTATTTTTAGTAGAGACAGGGTTTCGCCATGTTGGCCAGGCTGGTCTTGAACTCCTGACCTCAGACAGTCCACCCACTTCAGCCTCCCAAAGCGCTAGGATTAAAGGCGTGAGCCACCACACCCGGCCTTGCAGGAGGATCTTTTGAGGCCATGAGTTCAAGACCAGACAGGGCAACATAACGAAACCCCCATCTCCACAAAAAAATTAAAAAATTATTAGCCTGGTGTGGTGGTACGCACCTGCAGTCCCAGCTACTTGGGAGGCTGAGGTAGGAGGAGCTCTTGAGCCTGGGAGGTCGAGGCTGCAGTGAGCCGTGTTCGTGCCACTGCACTCCAGCCTGAGGGATGGAGCGAGATCTTGTCTCTTAGAAGAAAAAAGTCATGGAGGGTCATGGCAAGCCAAATTCTGAGTAAAGAATCCCGTGAGGAAGTGGAAGCTATGTGATAAAGAATCTGCATGGAAAAGGGAAAGAGTCAGCCAGGTGGCACCGGGTGCAGACCGCAGAGCATGCAGGAGGAGTGGCCTATAAAGGCAACACCCTTTAAGACAGAATGTTGTGTTCATGGCAGAACACCAGAGTGAAGATCAAAAGTCGTCTCTGGTTTTTCTGAAGTCTTATGGTCCAGCTTTTCTGAGTTGCCACAAGTGTATATTCTTTAAGTAAGGCCCGGCCCCTTGTGGGGACTTCAGTGATCTCTGTTCTTTTCCGCCAAGTGGCCAACACTCTAATACAACGAGGAAAATATATGATCAACCAAGGAGACAAAAGTGAGTGAGCGCTAAATGTTAGCATAAGCTTAAATGATGCGACATGATAAATCAATATAAAGATGAAATATATACAGAGGTTTCTAAAACACAAATGATAATTAAAGCATATCTCATAAATTATGAAGTGAGACATACTTAATCTTCAGCTTAACAATGTCTACACTTATTCGTTTAATCAATATTTATTTAATGCCTAGCATGTCTCAGACACTATGTTATTCTTGGGGGATGTAAAGATGAATCAAATAATCTTTTCCCTCAAGGAAATCATAGTCTGGCAGCTAGAATGAGACATCGCTTTCATTTTTTTCTTTTTTAAAAAATGGATTGCTTTTGATTCCTGAGTCAATCTGTTATCCTCACTTAAGCAGATCATGTATGGGAATTTGTCTGGGAACCAGTTTCCTATAACCAGCTATAACACAATGTGATTAATTAGACGTATATTTTGGCTCAAATCTTGGATTTAAGTGAGTAACCTAGGTAGTATACAGAAATGGATATTTTTCAGGCTAATGGATAAAGATATGTGTTCCAGTAAATCAAGTTACAAGGAAAATATTGTCCTTAATATTGTTGTTATTATGTAGATTAATTTTAAGATTAATTATATAACTGCTATGCATACATCATGACGAAAGAAATGCAGGATTTAGCTTATGACTTGATGTGGTGGCTGGGCACAGTGTCCCACACCTGTAATTCCAGCATTTTGGGAGGCCAAGGCAGAAGGATAGCTTGAGTCCAGGAGTTTGAGACCAGCCTGAGCAACATAGTGAGACCCTATCTCTACCCAGAAAAGATTTAATGTGGTGAGTAATAAGGAACTGGCTTCATGATGATCATGAGTCTGCATTGATGTGGCAAGAGGCACTCCAGAAAGACTTCTGGCGACGTAGGCAATTGGATTTGAATGGAGACTGTCAGGAAGGCCACAGTCTTATGTATTCCCCAGGTGAGGTGATCAAGGGATGAGAAAAGTCGCAGTGACAGGGGCTATTGAGAGAAAAACAAAGAAAATGAAACATAAATATGATGATTTTATCTTTTTCTATTTTACTTATAAAACATGATTTATATAGACTAAAATTTTATTTGCGATAAGGGAAATGGAGATAGAAAACGGCTAAGTCAGAAAAAGATAGTCATTCTGCTTTTCACAGCCTATTTTGGGCCAATTGCTCCCTGAAAATAAATTTTTTAAAAAAACTTCTAGGGCGCAGTGACCACACTTGTAATCCCAGCACTTTTGGGGGCCGAGGCGGGTGGATCCCTTGAGTCAAGGAGTTCGAGACCAGCCTGGGGAACATGATGAGACCCCTACTCTACAAAAAATACAAAAATTAGCTAGGCCTGGTGGCATGTGCCTATAGTTCCAGCTACTTAGGGAGGCTGAGGTGGGAGGATCGCTTGAACCCAGGAAGTCAAGGCTGCAGTGAGCCATGATCATGCCACTGCACTCCAGCTTGGACAACAGAGAGAGATCCTGTCTTACAAAAAAAAATCTTTAGTATGTTTTGGTTTGAAATTGAGCATATTGGAAACCTCCTGAATTCTTCCTCTATACATTCCTTCACCCATTTCTTATCAAGGACGTTTTAATTTAGTTGGTTGGCCAAATTAATCAAATCTGAAAGGATTTGGCTGTCTTTCTGAAAGCTGTCCCAGAACTGGTAAAACAAATGGTTCTTTTCTTCCTGGAAGAAATTCAGAGAGCCCCTCCCTCCCGGATCTCCCCATTTCCTTTTTTCTCTACCTTTCCCCAATGATCACAGTCAGTAAGAGCCAGAAATGGCTTTGTAACTCTTACGAATAATGAAAAGTCATTGCTGATGATTCGCACCAAGGGGGAAGGATGCTGTGGTTAGATCCTTGCTTAAGAAACGATTGTTTGTAACATTATTCATGTCTTTGTCATCTCTGGGTTCTGTCACTGCAGCATGTTCTACTGGGATGTGTCTTTGAAGTTCCCTTGGCAGACATTTGTATTATCATTTTAGCAGCATTTTCTTGCATATAATATGCCAGAGTAATATATACTAAAATGATAAATATAGTTTTTGCCCTTGAAGAGTTGATAATCTGACAAGGGTTGGCATTTAGTTACTAAATCATCCAAAGAGAAGTTATCATAAGAAGTATCATGACCTATTGACAAAGTTTTAGGCAACCTGTTAGAAATACTCAGCTTGGTCTAAACTAAATACAGAGCTCTTCAAAGTCATTGGTACTAAAAGCCTAGCTTGAGCTAAAGAAAACAATTTTCCACCCGAGAGCTGGGCGCAGTGGCTCATGCCTGTAATCCCAGCACTTTGGGAGGCTGAGGTGGGCAGATCACTTGAGGTCTGGAGTTGAAGACCAGCCTGGCCAACATGACAAAAGTCCGTCTCTACCAAAAATACAAAATTAGATGAGCATGGTGGCATGTGCCTGTAATCCCAGCCACCTGGGAGGCTGAGGCAAGAGAATCACTTGAACCCAGGAGGTGGAGGTTGCTGTGAGCCGAGATCGCACTGCTGCACTCCAGCCTGGGCAACAGAGTGAGACTCTGTCTCAAATAAGTAAATAAATACAAATTATCCACCCAAGAGAATAAATTCTGGTGGCCACTTATTCAAAGTAGAATAAGTTCTACTTTGAATTATTACTACTATGTGTTGTTTCACCATAGCTGACACATGGGGATTATAAATTACATTTACAAGAATAAAAACTAGAAAAATTAACCATGAGTATTTATTGAGCAATTACTATTTAGCAGGTACTATCCTAAGTGCTTTACATATGTTCATGAAATACTCATAACCTATGAGCACTATAAGAATCTTTTATTTTGTAGATGATGAAATTGAGGCACAAGGGCACTGTGTCCAAGGATGCCCGAGCCAAGATTTGAACACGTTGAGCCTGGTCCTAAAGTCTACTATTGAATTCGTACACTTAATCCCTCTCCTAGTCACTGCGGCCCCTCTGTGTGTATTATAAAAAGGTACTCTCTTTGAGTGGGAAAATTAGAAAAATGCACCCTCACAGGGAGCATGTAGCCTCTCTTTATTTCACCCCTAACTCATCCTTTGGCCTGGGCTTTTGAACAGTACACAGAATGTACAACTGTACATGGCAGCCCTGTCTTCACTGTCTTCACTACCAGTCAGTACCTTTACAAATTTCAAGTAACTTTGACATGCATAATCTTATTTGATTTTGGCTTCAGCCACATGAAATAAAAATGACAGTTAATTACCTTTCTCTTACAAAACAGAAATCTATTCTCTTTATGTATTGATGTATTGATCACACAAAAGGTACATCATAAAAACCAAGCAGTGGCCCAGGGGCAGGAAAGATCCTGGGTATGAACCACTGTGTGCTTTACTATACTACATGCTTTGCACATGACTTAATTTACTGTTCCCAAAAGCCCTACAAGGTAGGGGATCACTAACGCCTGTACACAGATTAGGAAACAGCTTCAATAAAGTGAATTACCTTGCTGGGCTTTCCATATTTTGTAGGTTGAGGTGTCTGAATTCAACCCTGGGCTATCTGACTTGAAATCTATGCTTCTTCCACCATTCTTAGACCATCTCTATTTGAGTCTATCTGATTGTTTGGTGTAGACATGTTCAAACAAGATAATACTCATTAGTGTTGGACAATTGGAGATTAGGATAAAGCGTGCCTCAAGCAGAGAAAATTGCCCAGGGAAGATACACTAGGGAAGATACTGCCTGCTTCTTAATAAGCTAGAACAAAAAGAGGTCACACTCAAGATTATGAGCCACTTATTTTGTTAATCAGCACATACTAATGGAGCACCTATTAAATGCTTGGCAGCCATTTAGGAGCTGTGTGGGAAACAACAATGAAAGTCAAACCACTTACCCTCAAGGGGATTGCCGTCTAATTAGTAAGACAACTAACAAGCCTGAATGTGAACACTGAAGCTACTTAGTAATCTCCAAGGACCTCTTTCAGTAGGGACTCATTTAGTGAATTTGCAGAAGAAACACACACAGATTGGGAGCTTCCCTTCCGTTCTTTCCACTAAATGGTGGGGTACTGTTTGCTGTTGTGTGTGTCCAAAAATAACAGACCTCTTTCCCAAAAAGCACAGTCTGAGACAAGGACTTAGTGTAGGTAATTTCCTGGAATGGATGTTTCTGGGAGACAGAGGAGGAAACGCCAAAATAAAGGAACATTATAGCACTTTTGGAGGCTGTGGCAGGTGGATCACCTGAGGTCAGGAGTTCGAGACCAGCCTGGCCAACATGGCAAAACCGTGTCTCTACTAAAAATACAAAAAATTAGCCGGGCATGATAGTGCATGGCTATAGTCCCAGCTACTTGGGAGGCTAAGGCAGGAGAATCACTGGAGCTCAGGAGCTGGAGGTTGCAGTGAGCCGAGATGGTGCCACTGCATTCCAGCCTGGGTGACAGAGTGAGACTCCATCTCAAAAAAAAAAAAAAAAAAAAAAAGGGGGAAATAATGTTATTAAAGTTGTGGACATAAGGGGTCTGGATTCCATCAGGGCCCCCTGGAAGATGTACCAAAACCTTCCAGAATTGTCCACTTTAAGGATGGCAGTGGGGAGCATTTGTTCACAGCTTCTGTCCCCTATTCATTGAGAGTTGTCCCTAGGGGCAGTCATTACCCCACATTTCTGGGCTGGCTGGTGAAAAGAATGGATGTTTACAGGTCGTAAGACCCTGGGGCAGAGTGGAGAGTCCCATGGCTTAGGTTTGAGGTAGCACAGAGGACACTGCAGCTGTGGCTGGGTTCAGAGGTGGATTGACAGAATGGAATGCAGAGCAACAGAGGTGTCTGCTGCAAATCTCTTTCAGCCCCCTCCGTGTGTGAGCACTAGATGGCTGTCCTTGTCATAGACAAAAGATAGACCAGTCACCTGGGGAGGCACTGGCATCAGCCTGGGAAATGGTCAAAGCTGGGTTTTACCAGTAGTCATTTAAAGTCTCTTGGTCTCCATTTCCCATAAGATGGAAAGAGTAATAGGACCTGCCTTACAGATTGTTAGGAAGACTTATTAACTCAGTGTGATAAAATGTTTCATAGAATGCTGAGCACTCTTTCTGGCAAATATGAGTATTCAATTTGTTGGGAAACAGAGATCCCAAAAGGCTTATATTGACTGGACAAGGAGTTGCTTTTTTTAAGTGTGTTTTTTTCCTTTTATTGTCTGCCTTGTTCATTCACCTAGTATATTAGTCCATTTCCACACTGCTGATAAAGACAGTCCCTAGACTGGGTAATTTAGAAAGGAAAGAGGTTGTTGACAAATGGGATCTAATTAAAGAGCTTCTGCACAGCAAAAGAAACTACCATCAGAGTGAACAGGCAACCTACAGAATGGGAGAAAATGTTTACAATCTACCCATCTGACAAAGGGCTAATATCCAGAATCTACAAAGAACTCAAACAAATTTACAAGAAAAAAATCAAACAACCCCATCAAAAAGTGGGCAAAGGATATCAACAGACACTTCTCAAAAGAAGACATTTATGCAGCCAACAGACACATGAAAAAATGCTCATCATCACTGGCCATCAGAGAAATTCAAATCAAAACCACAATGAGATACTATCTCACACCAGTTAGATGGCAATCATTAAAAAGTCAGGAAACAACAGGTGCTAGAGAGGATGTGGAGAAATAGGAACACTTTTACACTGTTGATGGGAGTGTAAACTAGTTCAACCATTGTGGAAGACAGTGTGGTGATTCCTCAGGGATCTAGAACTAGAAATACCATTTGACCCAACCATCCCATTACTGGGTATATACCCAAAGGATTATACGTCATGCTGCGATAAAGACACATGCACAGGTATATTTATTGCAGCACTATTCACAATAGCAAAGACTTGGAACCAACCCTTATGTCCACCAATGATAGGCTGGATTAAGAAAATGTGGCACATATACACCATGGAACACTATGCAGCCATAAAAAAGGATGAGTTCATGTCCTTTGTAGGGACATGGATGAAGCTGGAAACCATCATTCTGAGCAAACTATCTCAAAGACAGAAAACCAAACACCGCATGTTCTCACTCATAGGTGGAAACTGAACAATGAGAACACTTGGACACGGGGTGGGAACGTCACACACTGGGGCCTGTCATGAGTTTGGGGGAGGGGGGAGGGATGGCATTAGGAGATATACCTAATGTAAATGACGAGTTAATGGGTGCAGCACACCAACATGGCATATGTATACATATGTAACTAACCTGCACATTGTGCACATGTACCCTAGAACTTAAAGTATAATAAAAAAATTAATAAAAAGTGTTCTTCAAACAACTGTGAGCAAAGATGGACTAGTAGATATAGCTCCCCTGAATACTAACCATTAATATGCAAAGAAGATTGATTTTGACAATGTCATGGACAACTTTTCAGAAGTTTCCAAAACAGAAATTGTAGTGTTATTATTATTCATCACTGATACCAGCCTATATGTAAGAATAAGTTTTTCCTTTTTTCAAAAATACACTAATGTGATTAAAACCTTAAAAAAAATAAAAATAAAAAAATAATAAATAATAAAGGAAAGAGGTTGTTTAACTGACTCATAGTTCCACATGGTTGGGGAGGCCTCACAATCATGGCAGAAGGCAAAGAAGAGCAAAGTCACGTCTTACGTGGATAGTTAACAGGCAAAGAGATAACTTGTGCAGGGAAACTCCCTCTTAAAAACCATCAGGGCTCATGAGACTTATTCACTATCATGAGAACAGCAGGGAAAGACCCACCCCCATGATTCAATTACCTCCTACCAGGTCCCTCCCACCAATACGTGGGAATTGTGGGAGCTACAATTCAAGATGAGATTTGGATGGGGACACAGCTAAATCATATCACGTAGTTGATCTGTTTTCAATTTTTATTCCACTGAAAGGTCAATTCAGATTTGCTAAAGTATCCTTGATTGATAGGATATACCTGGTTGGACACAATAAAAATCAGTTCCTTTACTGGAAACATGTGCACTTAAAGGAGAATGCTGAATCCCATCAAGGAACAAAACTTTCTCCCATTCTGTCCCCAGAAACTAGTCACAGAAGGGTTTGCATATTCTTTGTGGTGAGTGCATACTGATGACAACTTCTGTTTATTCCTCCAACCCACTTCCTAGAGCCAGGATAGCTTTGTGCATCTGATTCTTATGATGAAAATTGTTAGATTATTTTTGGGGAACTGCTGTGTATGAGGCAGTATGCTTGGTCCTAGAAATGTGAAGGGTATAAAAACAAAAAAATATATAGAATGCATTTCTTGTCTACAAAAAAAGACGATTCTGGTTGAAGGAACTGGATGCAAATGGTTGAGCTTTTAGAGATAATGGGGAACTAGGGAGTACTAAATCACAGATTTGGTCCCATTTTTACTTATCCAAGACGAACATAAGAAATTCAATGGGAAAGGAATTCACCTGGGGCTCTTTGAGAAATAATGAGCTAAATGTATTGGAGACGTAAGTGAGAAAGGCCAGCAGTCAGCAGTTCTGTGCTCATCAAATTCAGGTTATGCACAGTCCTTTTCCTAGATATGTATGGTAGTCTTACAGATGTGGCACATCTGGTCTCCAGAGATGCACCTCTCCCAACCCATGAGCCATATACCCTGTATTCCTGTCTTTGTACAGTCCTCTCCCTTGAATCTGGGCTGCCTCCGTGACTCACTTTTGGCAGGTCTAACGTGGTGAAAGTTATGCCATGTGACTTTCAAGGTTAGGTGAGAAGCTTTGCAGCTCCTTAGGGTTTCTTGGAATGCTTGTTCTTGGGATGCTGTCTCTTGGAACCCAGAAAACAAGCTGTGAGAAGCTCAAGCTATACACAGCGGTCACATGTTTTTCTGTGGTCACCATCCCCAGCTGAGCTACCAGGTGACAGCCAGCACTGTCTGCCACTTGGGTGAGCCATCATGGATGTCCAGCTAAGATATCCAGCTAAGGCTTGAATAAGGCTTCACATGGCAGCCCCAGCAGCTATCTGACTGTTACCATGTCAGAGTCCTCAAATGAAAACTGCCTAACTGAGCTCAATGAATACACAGAACCATAAGATAATAAGTTGTTCTTTTAAGCTATCAAGTTCTGGGAGAGTTTGTTACACAGCAGTTGATAACTGGTACAAAATGTAATTTATGTCTTAAATATCAGCAAGCTTTTAATTTTTTTCACAGTTGTTATGTGACATTTTGAAGTCTCCATTTTTTTGTTTTTGCTTTTCTTACTTTTGACATACTATAAACTCGATCCTTTCAAATAGCTTTATGGAATAATATTGCTGTTCATTAGTTTTTAAATCATAACCTTACAGATGAAATTCTTAAGTGTATTGTCAACCCTTTTGTAGTCTGGTGAAGCCTACGGAAGTCTTTTATTATTAAGTGAATAATAAGAAATTTGTAGAATCACAGAAGAAACCAATCATGTGGGAACACAGTTTTTGAAATACTTTAAAACCCAAATCTGTGGTGTAGTAATATATGTACATCTGTGAACACATTAAATAACACTATTGATGGGCACAATTATAATTTTGAAGTACCAATAAACATAATCATTTTCTAACATTTTGTAACATTTTAGCATGGACATTTTTAAACATGCAGCAAAGTTGATCCCACAAAGAATATCTGTATACTCACTGCCTAGACTCTCCCATTAACATTACTTATGCTGCCGGGCGCAGTGGCTCACGCCTGTAATCCCAGCACTTTGGGAGGCCAAGGCGGGCGGATCACGAGGTCAGGAGATCCAGACCATCCTGGCTAACACGGTGAAACCCCGTCTCTACTAAAAAAATACAAAAAATTAGCCAGGCGCGGTGGCGGGCGCCTGTAGTCCCAGCTACTCGGGAGGCTGAGGCAGGAAAATGGCGTGAACCCTGCAGGTGGAGCTTGCAGCAAGCCGAGATAGCGCCACTGCACTCCGACCTGGGCAAAAGAGCGAGATTCTGTCTCAAAAAAAAAAAAAAAAAAAAAAAAAAAAAAAAAAGGAACATTACTTATGCTTGCTTTATCATGTTATCTATCTAACCATCCGTCATCAATCTTAATGTTTTTATGCATTTTCCATGTAAATTGCAAAGCAAATTGCAATTCTCTATGAATAATTCAGTGTGTATATAATTAGCTGGAAGATGGACTTAAGATTGTGATTGTGATATATGTGAAAATATTGTAATCTGATGGAAAAATGTTGGTGATTCCTATTGCTGACATTACTAGGTATTGCTGTTATCACTGTGGCTTGTTACCAGTATTCATATTTTAAAGCAATGCTAAGTTTCAGTCAGAAGTTACTGAAAATAAAGATGTAAATTTGTTCACATTCAAGTTCATGACCCTACCTATTAATCGACCCCATAGGGTCCACGATCTCCAAGTTAAGGAGACCTAATAAATGAAATGTGCAGATAGTCTATGAATAAGTTAAAATTCAAGGCAAATATGTAAACTAATATAGGCATACTTTAAAAATCAAGCCATAGGCCAGGTGTGGTGCCTCACGCCTGTAATCCCAGCACTTTGGGAGGCTGAGGTGGGTAGATCACTAGAGGTCAGGAGTTCAAGACCGGCCTAGCCAACATAGTGAAACCCCGTCTCTACTAAAAACACAAAAATTAACCAGGCATGGTGGCTTGTGGCTGTAATCCCAGCTACTCAGGAGGCTGAGGCACGAGAATCACTTAAATATGGGAGGCAGAGGTTGCAGTGAGCTGAGATCACACCACTGCACTCCAGCCTGTTTGACACAGCGAGACTCTTTCTCAAAAAAAAAATCAAGTCACAAATATAAATTCTGACATTTTTCCCTTTAACATTTTACAGTGACATTAATGAAAGGAGCTTGGAATACTCCAAAGAGTCATGGAAAAGGAGAAGGGAGTGTTAGTGATTTGACATCTGTATTAGCTAGGGCTGGTGTAACAAAAGCACCAAAAAATGGTGTGGTTTAATACAACAGAAATTTACTGTCTCACAGCTCTGAAGCCTGGAAATTCAAAAACAGGGCCAGGCGCAGTGGCTCACGCCTGTAATCCCAGCACTTTGGGAGGCCAAGGTGGACAGATCACCTGAGCCCAAGAGTTTAAGACCAGCCTAGGCAACATAACAAAACCCCATTCCTACAAAAAATACAAAAATCGGCTGGGCACGATGGCACGCCCTGTAGTCTCAGCTACTTAAGAGGCTGAGTTGGGAGGATTGCTTGAGCCCAGGAATTTGAGGCTGCACTGAGCTATGATCATGACACTGCACTCCAGCCTGGGTGACAAAGTGAGACCCTATCTCAAAAACAAAACAAAACAAAAAAACAGAGGTGTTACTGGGGCTGTGCTATTGCTGATGATTGTAGGGGAGGATTCTCCCTTGCCTACTCCAGCTTCTGGTGTTTGCTGACAGTCCTGGCAATGCTCAGCTCCTAGCTGTATCACTCCAATCACGTGCTGTCTTCTCCTGTATCTTTACATCATCTTCCCTCTGTGCAGGTCTGTCTCTGTGTCCAACTTTCCTCTTTTTATAAGGACACCAGTCATATTGGATTAAGGCCCACCCTAGTGACCTCATTTGAACCTGATTACCTCTGTAAAGACCTTAATTTCTAAATCAGGCCACATTCTGAGGTCCTAAGGCCTAGAATTTCAACACAGCTTTTTGTGGGGTCATAACTCAAACCCATAACAACATCAGAACATTGTAATTCAAAGGAACACAAATTCAGGTTTACTTTGAAACTAAATATTTCTAGAATTAAATTTGTCCAGAGTTACATGGTCTAGTCTTACTTTCATACAACTCTCTTCTAACACACTGTGTTTGTGCTGGATATCCCTTTATGAGTTTTAAGAACTCTGAAATGTGAAAAGTACAAATAAGTAATCTCTTGCATTCCTATTTTAGTCAAAAGATCAGGCTCCAAATTGCTTTATTCATCTTTGAGTAGTATTGCAGAAAATTTTAACTGAAAATTATATTCAAAATACTGTTTTCAATTTCCTAATGGAACTGTAACCAATTAGTCAACCACAATTATTGAACAACCATGAGTACTGTATTCCCTGAGGAGAAAAAACATAGTTTTTAGGCAACTATAGCAAGATGCAGCAAATGAGATTTATACACACACACACACACACACACACACACAGAGATACCCAGTAGATGCAGAATCAAGGCACTCTTTTATTTAAAAAATCCTTTTCTCTGCCAGGCGCGGTGCCTCACACCTATAATCCCAGCACTTTGGGGGGCCAAGGTGGGCAGATCACTTGAGGTCAGGAGATCGAGACCAGCCTGGTCAACACGGTGAAACCCTGTCTCTGCTAAAAATACAAAAATCAGCCGGGCATGGCAGCACATGCCTGTCCTCCCAGCTACTCAGGAGGTTGAAGTGGGAGAATTGCTTTAACCCAGGAGGCAGAGATTACAGTGAGCCAAGATGGCATCACTGCACTCCAGCCTGGGCGACAGAGCAAGACTCCATCTCAAAACAAAGAAAAGTAAAGTAAAAAAATTTTTCTCCAGTTTTGTGTCTATTTTAATTTTTCTTCTGATTTTGAACTGATTAAAAATTTCATATCTGCAACTTTAGTTGTAATATCAAGTTTTGCTTTTTTAAAATCAAATGCTGGTTAATACTGCCTCTACCCCCGACCCCCTCCCCAGCAAAAAAATCCAGAATCATTCAAAATCAATCTTACGAAGTTGTCTTCATTTTTTTTTCTTGTTTTTTTGTTTTGTTTTTTTTTTTTTTTGAGATGGGGTCTCACTCTGTTGCCCAGGCTGGAGTGCAGTGGCGTGATCTCGGCTCACTGCAAGCTCCGCCTCCCGGGTTCATGCCATTCTCCTGCCTCAGCCTCACGAGTAGCTGGGACTACAGGTGCCTGACACCACACCCAGCTAATTTTTTGTATTTTTAGTAGAGATGGAGTTTCACCCAGTTAGCCAGGATGGTCTTAATCTCCTGACCTCGTGATCTGCCCGTCTCAGCCTCTCAAAGTGCTGGGATTACAGGCATGAGCCACCGCGCCCGGCCAAAGTTGTCTTCATTTTGAGTAAGATTTTTAAAAATGTAAAATACTTACCACAGAGAACATTTTCAGCAAATGGTAGCTATTATAATTGTAGATGCTGGATGGATGGATGGCACAGAGTTATCAGTGGCTTAAGCCCCTGCTGATAGCACTGATATTTACGTGACGTTTAGCTGTGTGGCCCCCTTTAGTTGTTCTATCCTTTATAAAATTTTACTCCAAAATATGTTTTTTGAGGAGTCCTGGAACATTATTATTTTTAAAATAAGTAGGAACCATAATTCCAAAGAATTCTTAGACACATAAGGGCAACATATGGTCCTTTAAAAATATATAGATGAGCAATTCTTTTAGAGTAGGTTGAAAGAGACTGAAAGAAAAAAATCCAGATGCCATTTGATTTCAGTGAGAGAAGAGTCTAAAAAGCACTCCTTTGACTTAATAGATCTTTTTTGAGAGGTATATGACATCTCTGTATCTTAATTTCCTTCTCTTTAAAGTTTTTTTCTTTTTTCTTTTTCTTTTTTTTTTTTTTTTTTTTTTTTTTTGCCTCAGCCTCCTAAGTAGCTGGGACTATAAGCGCGCGCCACCATGCCTGGCTAATTTTTGTATTTTTATAGACACGGGGTTTCACCGTGTTGGTCAGGCCGGTCCCAAACTCCTGACCTCAGGTGATCCGCCCACCTCGGCCTCCGAAAATGCTGGGATTACAGGCATGAGCCACTGAGCCTGGCCTCCTTTTCTTTAAAGTGTTTATGTTAATACCTATTTCCCAGATTGCTTGAGGCTGAGTATATATAAATGTCTTTGTGCATATAATAGAAGCTCAAGAAAAGTGACATCCAGTTTCTGGCTCCCTCTGTCACCTCCCATCACCTCAATCTCTTGGTCAAAGTGACCATTCTCCCAGGAAGAAAAAAACTCAATGAAATAAAATAATAACATGCATTTCTTCTGTTGTAACTGACCTTTCAATCTAAAAGAACATCAGAATTTGGAAGAAAAAGTAAAAAGTGAAATAGATGGTTCCTTCCACCTCTATTTGTTTCTGAGCAGCTTCTGGTGGCCAAATGTTTTCTTGGTAGCATATTCCCTCCAGCAGAACCTTCCAGAATGCTTCACTCCGGTGAAGAGAAGGACAACAGGCTTTCTAATCACACGGTGTTGCTTGCTGAGGGGGAAGGCAGAGGTCCGCCTGTATAATCCGATTTCATCAACTCACACTAATCACTACTGATAGTAGCAAAATTTAGCCTGGATCTGCGCTGTTAATCTAGATTGACAGGAGGTAAAAGGAGAGGAACGCAAGGGCACAGGAACAAAGGGCGGAGCGCCAGCACTCATTTCCAGCCTTGCTCTTCCGTCTGGGGCTTCTAATTTGGTCCCCTTTGGGGCTTCTATTTTTCTTACCTTATAAACAAATGTCCCTGGTTGTTAGGATACCAGCCTTTCATGGAGCGGTTTCATCAACAACAGGTGCGCAGTGAGCTTCTGGAACTGCAGGGAGAGCGATAACCTACGTCGTGAGGCTGCGCAGAAGGTACTTACAGGTACTCATTGTACCTGAGACTATGTATTATTTATTGAAACTGAGCCCTGAATTATCTTTATCCTCTGAGCGGCACTAGTGCCTCCTAAAATGGATGCCAACAGCAGCTAATCTACAAGAGCTCCCACATGCTCCTTGCTCTCATTATTTTTCTTATTAGTAATTGTAAGTGGTAGCTACCAAGCTTCTTATTAAAGCTTGGAGAGTAATTGGGAATTGCAATTGAACAGCCGAGAGAGGAACACCTCTGTGATTTTGGACGTTTCCACGTGGACTGAAGTTTTAATTTTTTCAAGGGACTACTCCACTTCGGATGTTGTGGCTATACAGAAGATAACATGTTGCAGATTCTGCCTCCATAGTGATCAGAGTAGCAATCTGTGATGTGTGTGTTCACGTGCTTAATGCCCAGAAGGAAGATGGGCTATGGGAAGGTTACTTTCGCTGTTACTTATGATATCTGTGTCTGGCAAACCAGAGAACTTTTTGCATTTGGGTAACAAAGACGTTTGGAAATATACTCCATTGGATTTTCCATGTTGGTGAAACTATTGTTGACCGCTTCAGTACTGTATGTTGCCATGCCAAAATCACCTAAGGGCAAAAATGTCTCCTGGGTAAGTAGATGTTGATTTTATATCTCTTAAAAAGTATATTTTAAGCAGAAACACATGCTTTAAGAACTTAAAGACATCTAGTTGTTTCATGTTGGTAAGAGTATTTGGAAAACCTTCAGAAAGCATTTGTCTTAGAAAAGCATATAAATATCTTTGTAAGTGTTAGAAATCCTTTGGCAAAGTCACGGTGGAGTGCTTGCTAAAATATGAACTATAAGACATGTAAACACTCAGTTTGTTTTGCCATTTTTAGGTTTTTAGGTTTGCTTCACCTTTGCATACACACACAGAATTTAAAGTGCATTCATACAAAGTCAAGGTTATGATTTTAACATGTTTTCAACTCCAAAACTGTTTGTGTTGAGTAAAGATTGCCTAGATTTCTTTTTTGGGGTAAGTCAAATGTTAAGGGTAGAATATGTGATTTTCATTATTCAGTGATATTGTTGGTGTGTTCCTTTTTTCCTTGGAAACAAGATAGCATAGCTGTTTCTTAATTTTACGTATCTAAGTAATTGCCCTCAATCAATGATAGACATGTATAAAGTTTAACATTTCAGTAATAACAACGGCATGTTAATCCTAATCAAATTTGACTCCTTAATATTGTTTCAAGGTGGCTGGGTGCAGTGGCTCACGCCTGTAATCCCAGTACTTTAGGAGGCCGAGGCGGGCAGATCACGAGGTCAAGAGTTCGAGACCAGCCTGGCCAATATGGTAAAACCCCGTCCCTACTAAAAATACCAAAATTAGCTAGGCCTGGTGGCGAGTGCCTATAGTTCCAGCTACTCAGGAGGCTGAGGCAGAAGAATCGCTTGAACCCAGGAGGTGGAGGTTGCAGTGAGCTGAGATCGGGCCACTGCACTCCAGCCTGGGAGACAGAGTGAGACTCCATCTCAAAATAAAATAAAATTATATATATAGATTTAAGGTAGTTTCCTACCAAAAACACAAAACCTACCAGATTGAGCTCAGAATAACGAGAACAATCTGTAAACTCTTAAAAAATAAGGGCTTTAGTTTCCTGCTATCATGTTAAGTGAGCTTGATACATTAAAATTAACAGGCAAATGGATTCCTTTCTATTCTGTACAGAAAGTTGTGTGTCTAAACACCAAATTTTTTACCACCAGCCCATGCAACCTCGACCATACTCATCATAGAATTTATTATTAGATCATCATTATGGTTTTTTGGCAATAATGTAGGAAAAATAAATAATTCCATCTTTTTGGTCAAGAGATAACGTTTACTACCTTAATTTGAAATTCACCAATTAGGTTATTCTTACTTTATATGAAATAGCACCATATTTGTCTAAAAATGGTTATTGTGGCTTTTTTCTGTTATAGACAGTTATTCTTTAAGAGTACTTAATTAAAAGAGGTGTACCTTAGTTTGAAACACAACTCTCAAAATTATTTCAGAAAAATTGACAAAATTTTTGAAGTTAATTCGCTTTTAATAATGGATACTTTTTGTCTTCATATTATTGTTATCGTTGATTCTTCACTTCCTCTTAGTAAAACCAAGAGATATGATTCAGGAACCTTTGGCCTAACTGGTGAGTTTCTTTCCCTCCTTATACGGATGGGTCCAAGGGCTAGTTCTGATGTCCAAATGTGAGTTTGCTACTTTCTGCCAGCACATAAACATTAAAGAAAAGAGTCGTTTCAGAAGTACATCCCCTCCTTCATCTGATTAATACTCCTAAAAGATTAATTCTGTCAAACTAGTGCCTGCCTAATGGCATGTTTCTACCATGAAAGCAAAACTTGAAACATTAAGCTCAGACTCTACCCTTGGGTTGGGTTTACTTCATACTCAATTATGCTAATATTTTTTGAAAAGTTCAAGTTGTTGGCTAAAAATTTAGGAGCACTTATTTCAAGAGAGTCAGCATAGTTTCATTTCCTCAGGTTAAAAATTCCCCGGTGTATCCCACACTATTACAAAATGCCTCTGTACCAGGTTTGTCCAAAGATGAGTTATGAGTTTAATGACTGCCATATTACAGAGAATACAGTCATTTGGTTGGTGTGTGCTGATTATGCAGTGGTCCAATCATTCATGTTAATGACTATGATAAAATTCCTTAGTTTGACTTTAGGGCATAGAGAGAGAGACTTTGAAATGTTGATCATTGCTTCAGTTTTCACCAGTCACGGTTTTTTAGGTATTGAATGACGTTTCCCTGCATTTTTTGGCTATGTGAAGTGAAATGTATCTGGTCTTCCTGCTTTTGCCACTGGCCAGTTTCCATTTGGATATTTATTTAGACTTGAGTTCAGGAGGAGAATAAAATGATTCCCCTTGTCTCTTTAACCACATAGTAAACTTCCCAGTGGTGACAGAAGATCATGTAACTCTTCCTCCCTGGCCCCTCGGGCACGTTTCCGAGACCTGCTTCACTCCATGTGATAAACATGAACACATCTTGTGGAACACTGCAAGCCCCAGAGTGGACCACCACCTTCTTTCTCCTGTTCATGCCTGGTCAGAGTGGTATCTAGGCAACTGGTTAAACTGCTTGACAGTGTAGCTCTCTGTGCAATGGAAAAGATGATAGCAACCAGCATGTTCTCTGAGATGTGCTGAGGCTTATCAGATCATCCTGGTACAAGGGTTCGACATTCATTCAACAAATGTTCACAGAGTGCCTCTTCTATGATCCTCTAGGTACCGAGGACGCAGTGAAAAAGATCCTTGAGAATCTCCAACATCATAGAGCTTACATTCTAGGGAAGGGAGAAAGACAAAAAGCAAATACCTAAGTAGTACATAAGATGGTGAATGAAATAGAACAGGGAAGGGGTTAGGAAGTGCCAGGAATTGAGAGGTGGTGTTGCCAATTGGTTGGTTAAACCTATTTGAGCAGAGACTTGAAGAAGGTAACAGAGTCAGCCACGGGGAAATGTGGGACTCAAGCATTCCCTGCAAAGGAAAAATGCTCAGATGCAAAGGCAGGAGTCTGCCCAGAATGTGAGGAATGGCCAGAAGGCTAATATGGCTGAATCGTAGTGTCATTCTTTCAGTTTCCTGTGTCTCTTGTATGTATTTGCATATCTTTAGTAGTTCTTCATGGGGGATTCCAAGACAGTCCTCAATTCCTCTGTTCAAATCCCCAGAGAATTCTGACATGTAGGAACTTCGTAAGAAGGTGCACACCAGTGCCTGCCAATGAAGGTTATAGGTGACAGGAGAGAGGGGGCAGAGCACTGCAGACGCCCATCTCATCACCCTGACACAGTCAAGCTTCATAAGCAGCCCTGAAGAGTTGATAATTTTGTTATTTTTATTTTTTTACCGATATTGAGGCAGTTTTACAAATGAGTATTATGGTGTTTTATAATAAGAGAAGTTAGGAGCAATTTTAATATTAAAGATAGTATTAAAAGGGGGGATTTAAGGATACAGGCTAATAGGACACAGCACTTCCAATAACAATGCATACTTTTTGTTAGAAAATGGTGCACAATTCCAAACTTTATTATAGAATCTCCATATATTCTTTGAGTATAAAAATCCTTCCTGTTTTTTGAGACATGATCCTGCTTCCACTTGTTCATGACAACTGCATAGACCCCTAATGGCTGTAGACCTGACTTTATACCACACTAACCAAGTTTGTTGAAAAGTCACTTTGCCTTGGCAATACAAAAATAATGGACTCCACTTAGGATCCTGATGCTAGGCAAACTCTCTTGCTGTTCTTTTAATTCTCAGGAACTGAAATCAGTCACACTGAACCTCCCAGTGTTCCATATCTATGGTCCTACATATAACAATGATTACTTGTATATGGTACATTTCATTGGTTGTTCTTAATGTTTTTTATTATGTGTCATAAGACACTAATACCATTTAAGAAAATGAAGGGAAGCTGTAAAGAACATAAATGAGTGACTTAGGTTCACATAACAAAGAATGCTAGAGATTAAATAAGAACTCAGAATTTTGGAGTTTGCTTTCTGTTTCTTGATTGAGATACTCCTAGCAAATACATTAAGTATGTGCATGTTATTATATTATAAAAGTAGATGTTACTAGAAATTGGCTAAAAGACTAACAATGACAATTAAACATACTGCATAGACGATGAGACATTGACTCATTTTTGAAGGGGAAAAGGAAAGGGTTCTGCCAGGGACAGAAGTCCATCACCTTTCCTTGGTCATTGAATGTTATTTCCATGTAGATGTCTCTCTCCAGTTGTCAAAAATCACTATTCTTTTTGCGTGTTTTTTTTTTTTTTTTTTTTTTTTTTACCCTCCGTGATCACTGTATCTGTCTTGATGAATTTTTTTCAAACTGAATGGCTTTAAGTTATGACTTTATCAGAGATCTATCTCTTGTTGCTTTTACCTAATTTGATATGCAGGTTTCACTGCAACATCTAGATTACTGGTCTTTCCGACAATAACAGTTTCTAAAAATATCTGATTTTATATTTTTCTTTTTTATTCTCTGAATGTTTGCCACTGTCATCAGAAAGAGCTCCCTGTTGTTACTCTCCTTTGTTCCCTTTCTGGATTACATTAGGTTTACTGAACTTGTTCAAACATCTCTGAAGATTTTAATTTTTTCAACTTTACTCACACTTGACAGGAAATCATAGTGTGTCTGGTGATACAGATACGCTATTTACTTACGCTCACAGCCATGAAGATTTTTCCAGACACTCATACGTTGAGAGAGTATTTTCTTCTCCAATAAATTAATAAGCATATAGATATATTTTTTTTAATAGATAACTCTATGTCTAGGGAAACCTGAGAGATCACACCAGGTGGCTTCAGTGAATATGAATATTCACTAGCCAGCCATAAAGCATTAGGAAGTATGTGTTTGTATACAGCCTGCCACTACCGATTATATTTAATATTCAAATGTGTACCTTTTAAAAATCAAAGTTCAAACTTACAGGGTACTTAGAGATTTAAAAGGGAACAAGTCATCAGTTCCTATCTCAAAACTGGCCCATTTACCCTTCTTTCCTCTTTCTCATTTCTGATCCTGGAAACAAAATTATTTTCTCATACAACATCGAGAGCATTGCAGACAATGTATTATAGTGAGAAAGTATGTGCGGTAGAGGCAGATTCTGAGTTTAAATCCTGATTCTGCTAGTAGTTGTTGACTTTGGACAAATTATTAACCACTAAGGTTTCCGTCATTCATCTGTAAAATGAGGATAATAACACTTTTCCTGTAGGAGTATTTTTTAAAACAACATGTAAAAAGTATGTATTGTAGTGCCAGCGCATAAAAGTAATTTGTTAAAATCGTTTCCTCCTTTTGTCTGCCCTTTCTTTTCCAATCCTACTGCTATAACATGAATTCGGGGATTTATCGTCTTGTATCTACTAGACACCATGGCAGCCTTCATACCAATTGCTAACTTCCCTTCTCCATTCCATTCCAAGCACTTCTATTCAATATGTTTCCTTTAATCCAGATTTTCATCAGTTTTGAAGCACATCATAATCCTTTAAAAATTCCTCAGGCCAGGCACAATGGCAGATTTCTATAATCCCAGCACTTTGGGAGGCCAAGGTAGGGGATCACTTGAGCCCAGGAGTTTAAGAACAGCCTGGGCAACACAGCAAGACCCTGCCTCTACAAAAACATTTAGAAGAATTTTTTTTTAATAGCCGGGTGTGGTGGCTGTATGCCTGTAGTTCCAGCTACTCAGGAGGCTGAGGAAGAAGGATTGCTTGAGCCCAGAAGTTGGAGGCTGTAGTGAGCTATGATCATGACACTGCATTCCGGCCTGGATGACAGAGTGAGACCATGTCTTTAAAAAAAGAAAAGTTTCTCACCATCCATAGATAATTAAACATTTCCAGGCCGACTGAATTCCTCCACGGAGAAGACAGGAGAGGGATTCAGAACCAACCTGAGCCCAGGGCTGCTCCACTCCCTGCTCTCTACCTTCTTCCCCTTGGGTTTGAGCCCAGATTTTAGGTGAGATGAGCTTTCAGCTGGTGGAACATCTCTCTTCCGTTTTGCTGTGATAACAACTCTAGTTCTTATGTGGAGGGAGGGATTAAAGTGCATTGGAGTGCACTATCCCTCCACAGAAGTGCTTCACCCTGCAGCGCAAATGTGCTTCCTCCTGGGTTGGGCATCTAGCCCAGGTATTTCTGAGTCTGACGATCATGGAGTGAAGGCCGAAGAATGTGGATAAAGAAAGGGAAGGAGAATCAAATAATGCCCCCCAAGTTACTAAGTGTCTTGCTGAACTTTTGCTTTTTCTATGTGGGTGAAGGTAAAAAGAGATAACTCGAGACAGTGCAGGAAAAATATCATTTAAAACCTAACCTTGAGGCTGGGCGTACTGGCTCACGCCTGTAATCCTAGCACTTTGGAAGGCTGAGATTGGTGGATCACCTGAGGTCAGGAGTTCAAGACCAGCCTGGCCAATGTGGCAAAACCCCATCTCTACTAAAAATACCAAAATTAGCTGGGCATGGTGGTGGGCGCCTGTAACTCCAGCCACTCGGGAGGCTGAGGCAGGAGAATCACCTGAATCCGGTGGGGCGGAGGTTGCAGTGAGCCGAGATTACGCCATTTCACTCCAGCCTGGGCGAAAGAGCGAAACTCTGTCTCAAAAAAAAAAAAACCTAACCTTGAGATCACTATATCCAGACTAAACAATGAAGAGAATGTACAGTGTGAAATTTCTAGGAGAAAATGTTGATCTATGTCATAGATCATTTTAAATGCCACAGGTGAGGCCGTAAGGGCCCAGGAATGGGAGAACCAGTTGTGAATCATTCCCTAAAATCAAGAGGTGATACAATGTGCAATGTGTTACCAACTCATAGCCAGTTCCAAGAGATCTGGGTCTATATCCGGTTTGGGGATTTTGTCTCCACTACTCCAGCCTTAGTGCAGGCTGGCTGTGAGTTGCAGCCCTGGTGGACATTAGATGTCTTGACCAGCAGGTCACCGGACCTTTCAGAGAAAACATGCCACCTTCTTGTAGTTCAACTGCACTGTGAGAGGGGCAGATGGATAATCCCTCATTTAAAGGTAAGAGGTAAAGCAGAGGTAATAAGAATGGCGGGTTTCTTCCACTCTGCAAAAACTGCTGTATGGGCTGTGTGGGCACACCTTTGAGCTCTTAGATGGAGACGAGCTCAGGGATAGTGCCTTTGGAGAAAAGGTTGGAGAGATTGCACTGTGAGAGGCTTCAAATCAAGTTACCAAGTAAATAATGAGTGCAGCACACCAACATGGCACATGTATACACATGTAACAAACCTGCACGTTGTGCACATGTACCCTAAAACTTAAAGTATACTAAAAAAAAAAAAATAAAAAATAAAAGAAAAAATAAAAAGAAAAAAATAAAATAAAAAAAGAAAAAAAAAGTTACCAAGTAAATATTAACCCTTTTGCAAGAATTCATTAAAACTAGGAGCACCAGAAGTCGCATATAATGCCTCTTGCCCACAATTCTTAATAGTTCTCTTTCTTTCTCAGAAGTGTTCTGGATTGGACAATACATGGCATGCTCACTCTAATTGTCATAACAGAGTACGGGTGGATGATCATGGTGGGAAGGAGTAGGAAGAAGTAGGGCCTGGGAAAGTGTGAGTTTTCCCAAGGAAAAGCTCCACTGTGGTTACTCAGAAATTCAGTGGAGAAGGGGAGCGGGAGCGTGGCTGCACCTCTGGCCTACTCTGGCTTTAGGCATCAGTTTTGTGACTTTGGATATACTAATTAGTCTCTTTGAAGGTCACTTTCCCAGCCTGGGCAACATGGTGAAACCCCATCTCCACAAAAAATACAAAAATTAGCCAGGCATGGTGGCATATACCTTTACTCCCAGCTTCTCAGGAGGCTGAGGTGGGAGGATCAATTGAGCCTGGGAGGTTGAGGCTGCAGTAAGCAGTGATCGCACCACTGCACTCCAGACTGGGTGACAGAGTCAGACCCTGTCTCAAAAAATAAAAATAAAAAAAAACTTTCTTCACCTGCAAAATGGAGATCATTATAACTCATGTTGCTGATGGTTGTGAGAATGAATCATAAGAATGCAAAGAATATGTATATTGATGATAAGAGATGTCACGAGAAAGAGCAGCTGGGATTATGCTGGACCATGCTACTTAAAATCACCTCTGATGCCAATCTAGATTTCTTAGTCTGGCCTTCAGGAACATCTATAGTCAGTCTCAATCTAAATTTCCGACCCTGTTCTCCACCACTTTCATAGGTAGAGCCTCTACCCAGTGAATGCATGTTGCATTTCTTTTTTTTTTTTTATTTTGAGACGGAGTTTCACTCTTCTTCCCCAGGCTGGAGTGCAATGGCACTATCTCGGCTCACTGCAACCTCCACCTCCCGGGTTCAAGTGATTGTCCTGTCTCAACCTCCCAAGTAGCTGGGATTATAGGCGTGCATCACCATGCCTGGCTAATTTTTGTATTTTTAGTAGAGATGAGGTTTCACTCTATTGGTCAGGCTGGTCTCAAACTCCTGACCTCAGGTGATCTGCCCACCTCGGCCTCCCAAACTGCTGGGATTATAGGCGTGAGCCACCACGCCCAGCGGTGTTGTGTATTAATATCTCTGTATGTCTGTTGCTGTGCCTTGGGTAACAAGTTGACTCCTACACTCCTGAAATTTCATTGCTGCTACTTCTACTAAGCCAAGATAAAAAGTAAGTCTTATCAGCAAAAGTGATGTGAAATAAAGAGATCATTGGAAATACTATCACCTTGTCTAAAATACATTTGTGTTTATGTTACTAAAACTAACAGAACCTATTACAGCAATGACAACGTATTTCAAAACTCTAGGTGTTTGTTATGCCTTTTGGCAATTAACACCTTTAAAAAATGCAATCTGACGGGTGAATCACGAGGTCAGGAGTTCAAGACCAGCCTGGCCAGGATAGTGAAACCCCATCTCTACTAAAAATACAAAAATTAGCCGTGCATGGTGGTGGGCACCTGTAATCCCAGCTACTCGGGAGGCTGAGGTATGAGAATTGCTTGAACCCGGGAGGCAGAGATTGCAGTGAACTGAGATCGTGCCACTGCACTCCAGCCTGGGTAACAGAGCGAGATTCCATCTCAAAAAAATAAAAATAAAAAGCGCAATCCAAATCAACAATGATGCATTGACTTCTGGGAAAAAAAGTAACAGAATATTCAGAGTACTCTGGGGAAAAAAGAAAGATAGGATTTCCTAAGGACTAGTGTCAGTTCCCAAGAAAATGAGTGAGGAAAGAACGCTATTTTAACTTGCATGTTACCCAAAAGTGAAAGTGAGATGGAGACTCTCAAGGTAGAGAGAAAACCACCACTCCTTTTCAAAAAGGGGACTCGTGTTCGGAAGTGCAAACGTAGCAGTGTTCCTGGCACCACAGAAGTTTGGTGATTTTAATCCTGACACCATTTGCTGTTTCTGAACTTTTACATTTATCGTTGTTATTAACTTCCCAAGTCAAACCAGGGGAGTGACGTGAGCTGACTTTGCGCTCTCTGATAGCACGAAGGAAAGCCCCAACAGGTGAATGACATGGTTCTGGCATCTTTTCTGCCTTGATAAACAAGCTCCACAGTAATCCCAGCACTTTAGGAGGCTGAGGTGGGAAGATTGCTTGAGGCCAGGAGTTTGAAACCAGCCTGGGCCACATAGCAAGACCCCGCTCTACAAAAAAACACAAAAATTAGCGGGACATGGTGGCACATGCCTGCAGTCCCAGCTACTCAGGAGGCTGAGGTGGGAGGATCATTTGAGCCCAGGAGTTTGAGGCTGCAGTGAGGTATGATTATGACACTGCACTCCAGCCTGGGTAACAGAGCGAGATCCTGTCGCAAAAACAAACGAAACAAGCTGTTCAGGTAAATCCACTAAGCCTTTCTCTCTTTTTTTTTTTTTTCCTTTTTTGAGATGGAGTCTTGCTCTGTCACCCAGGCTGGAGTGCAGTGGCACAATCTCAGCTCACTGCAACCTCCGCCTTCTGGGTTCCAATGATTCTCCTGCCTCAGCCTCCCGAGTAGCTGGGATTACAGGCATCTGCCACCACGCACAGCTAATTTTTGTATTTTTAGTAGAGACGGGGTTTCACCATGTTGGCCAGGCTGGTCTCGATCTCCTGACCTCGTGATCCTCCCACCTTGGCCCCCCAGGGTGCTGGGATTACAGGCATGAGCCACCGCGCCCAGCCGCCTGTTTCTAATACATAGGAAGGAGATGAATATGTCACACTTCCTGGAACCCAAGAAAATAACCCAAATTATGCATTCTATAAAAGTAAACATAGCCTTAAGAAAGACTAGGAGGAAAAGTCTTACCAAGCAGAATGAAGAAATAGCATAGTAATTGATTTATCAAAATTGCCCACATCAGGCCTCCCAACTTGACGTAAAGAAATCAAAATGAAATCACTCATTTAGCAGTCAAAGTTGTAGAACAGACTTTGAGATATTGTCCCAGTGATGCCCAGAACCTGAATAGCAGCAGTCCAGGGAAGTTTGATGGGGTCAGGGGTGGGTCGGGGGGCGCTTTGTTGCTGTAGCAGTCTTCCAAGCTGCTTGCAGATCTGCAGCATAGCAGCAGCAGAAGCGATAGCGCCTGTATTTAAATGTGAATGACATTATACAAAATATACTTGCATGCACGTTTATAGCAGCAGAATTCGCAATTGCAAAAATGTGGAACCAACCCAAATGCCCATCAATAAACGAGTGGATAGAGAAACTGTGCGATATGTACGCAATGGAATACTACTCAGACATAAAAAGGAATGAATTAATGGCATTTACAGCAACCTGGATGGGATTGGATACTGTTATCCTAAGGGAAGTAACTCAGGGATGGGAAACCAAACATTATATTCATATGTTCTCAACCGTAAGTGGCAGCTAAGCTATGAGGATGCAAAGGCATAAGAATGGCATAATGGACTTTGAGGACTCAGGGGGAAAGGGTGGGAAGGGGGTGAGGGATAAAAGACTACAAGTTGGGTTCAGTGTATACTGCTCAGGTGATGCGTGCACCAAAATCTCACACATCACCACTAAAGAAACTTACTCATGTAACCGAACACCACCTGTTCCCTAAAACCTATGGAAATAAAAAATAAAAAATAAAACTAAAATGCAAATGACAGGTGTGCAGTAGACTTTTCTAGACTTGCAGGCATATTGCAGTTTTGTGTAATCTGTGCTGAACAGAGATCGCATCTCTCTTCATAAAGCTCTTTTATAGTTTCACACCTGTAATCAGCTGTCCTTTAAACTCTGAAGCTTCACGGGGGTCTCCTTAGACTCGTTAGTCTCATGGTGGCACTCACAGTGGAGGATGTCCTTGTTGGCTACTGGTGTCACCTTTGGAGTTGAAGGAATAGACAGTTTATTCTTGTTTTTGCTTTTCTCTCATGGCTGTGCGGGAGTGCTGGCAAAAAGATAAGGATGTGAGAAATGTTTAAGAAAGGGAGAAGGCCAGGCATGGTGACTCATCCCTGTAATCCCAGCACTTCGGGAGGCCAAGGTGCGAGGATCACTTGAGCTGAGGAGTTCAAGAACAGCCTGGCCAGCATAGTAAGACGTCATCTCTGCAAATAATAATTAAAAGTTAGTCAAGTATGGTGGTGCACGCCTTTGTTCCCAGCCGCTCAGGGGGCTGAGATAGAAGGCTCGCTTGAGCCCAGGTTGGGAAGGCTGCAGTGAGCCATGATCACGCCACTGCAATCCAGCCTGCGTGATAGAGCAAGGCCCCATCTCAAACCAAAAGAAAATTAAAAAAAAGGGAGAAAAAAGAAACACAATCCAGGGCCACGTGTCTCAGATGTCACTTACTTCTCTTCATAAGAGCCAGTACTGAATTCTTAGAAGCTGTGCAACCCGTATGAAGGCAACCCATATGAAGGTTTTCATTTTCTGCTACTTTTTCAGTTATCCTGGAAAAAATACTGAGAGGCAACACCTGTTAAGGCAGGCTGTCCTTGGGGGTGCGTGTCCAGCGCTGCCCTTGACTAGTTGTGGCACTAGTTACTTATCTTCATGAAGTCTGTTTTCCAGTCCGTTCAGTGGGGGAGCGTTAAACCTGTCCTACCCACCTCAGACAATGAATTGCAAAGAAAATGATGTCTGTGTAAGAGTTTTGACATTATGCAACATTATATGAGATTAAAATTTATTCAAGATCTAGAAAAACCGCCAGTGTTTTTATTTTTTATTAGTATTGCTTGTTGAGACAGAGTCTTGCTCTGTCATCCAGGCTGGAGTGCAGTAGCACAGTCACAGCTCGCTGCAGCCTCAAACTTCCAGGCTCCATCGATCCTCCTACCTCACCCTCCTGAGTAGCTAGAACTACAAGCTTGCACCCCCACATCCTTCTAATGTTTTAATCTTTTGTAGAGATAGGGTTGCATTATGTTGCCCAGGCTGGTCTCAAACTCTTGGGTTCAAGCGAGCCTCCTGACTCAGCCTCCCAAAGTGCTAGGATTATAGGTGTGAGCCACTTCACCCGGCCTAATCAGTGTTTTCATACGTAGAATTGCAAGTCATGGTGGCAGTGGACAAGTTTATTTCTCAATACACAATGGGCAAGTATATTATCTCAAATGAGGAAATGAACTATGTTTATACCACCTAAGAGTTGTGGAGCTTAAAAAAAGTATTCAGCACATTTAAGAAAGGTATTAAATACATTTTGTTTCAAATATTGCATTGAAAACATTGTTTGTTTCCCCAAATTTCCAGGTGAAGGATAAGCCTGTGCTCTTTTTCACTCCATTTTTTTTTCCCAATGTAACCTAAACCTGTTAATATCTATATTCAGCAAAGCTGCCCTGGTTGCCTGGCAACCAGGCTTCGTGGGCTAGGGAAACACCAAGGCAAGGAACCAAAGGCAGCGAACACAACCTTGACTTTGCCTGCCGCTGCACAGGCGATCATCCTCTCTGTATTCTGTATAAAGCTCTATTTCCAAAACATAAGTAAATCTTGCAAGAATGTTAGCTCGATGCTATTAGGAGTTTAAAACTTACGGTTTGTGGGATAACATTTCAACATAATTAAATAAGCATGAAGAAATCTCTCTCTCTGCTCTTCCTTAATTAAAACAGGGGCGGTCCCTTTCCTCACAGGTCATGCTGTACATTTCAATCCCACTTTTTATTTCCTCTGCAGAAAGATGTGTGCATTATTCTTGGAATAAGATGTAATGGAAATTGAAATGTCAACTTTGAGAAATAGAAGTTTAGGACTCATTACTGCCAAACATATATTTTTGTGTCTTATACAAGGAAGTAAAAAGAAGAATGAATGAAAATGATTTTTCTTATTCCAATTCTTCCATGTTTCCACCTTTATCTCATTCCCTTTCTTATATTCTCCCCTGTGGGAACTTCATCACTTTAAAAATTAAGAACAAGGAAAGCCTTTGGGTTACAGGAAATAAATGTCGTCTACTTCATGGACAGTAAATGCTATGAGGCTGAGACAGAATTTGGAATTTAAAGCTTACATTATCTATTGTTTTATTATGTCACTTGTTTCATAAGGCAGCTTTTATTGGTTAAGTTCAATATTCAGAGGAAAAGTAAACTGAAGGACCCTGAAGCAGATCCTTTTTGAAATAAGATTGGAGAATAATATAAGGTAAAACATGTAACTGGGGCTGTTGAAGTGGAGATTTGGCTAAGTATGACAAAAATGAGAACAGAATACAGAGAAAATTAACTCAATAATATCTCAGCACAAATCCTCGAAATCTGCAATGAACGTATCTTTTGATTCCTAAGTCATGAAAGAAGACAGTCTTTCATTATTACTTTGCCATGTAATAGCCATTTATATCAATTTCACATTCTACTTTCTTCTATCCTTATTCCATAGCTGGTGTGAGTTAGTTTTCAAGACAAACTGGAAGTCCCAATTTTAAGTAACACCTCCTAATTTGTAAGTGTTGGCTTCAGTAAAAATTAACAACCTCACTCTGTAGGTCAAACAGAACCCATCTGGAAGCCAGGTTATGCTCATGGTTGACATTTGTGACCCCAGGTATAGGGGGAGAAGAAGGGTAACTGAGGAATTCTCACGTGTTAAGAGGCTGCATATAAAAATGATAAGTGTTGGGAGGCCGAGGTGGGAGGATCGCTTGAGCCCAGGAGTTGGAGGCTGCAGTGAGCTATGATTGTGCCACTGTACTCCAGCCTGGACAGCAGACCGAGACCCCATCTCTAAAAAAAGGAAAAGTAAAGTGATAAGTTGTCAAGGAGGTCAGACAAGAAACAGGGTCCTGCTTCACACTTTGATAAGTAAGGGTGCAGAACATTTCAGGAGGAAGAGAAGAGACAGCCAGGGGGCCAAAACAGAATTCAGCAAGCAGGCATTTAATTGTGATCTTGGGAGAGGAGTTTCAAGAGGATGGTGGAAGTCAGGCACAGATGCAGTGAGTTATAAGGAGCGTGTGGGTGATGAAAGTAGAAACAAGCAAATATAGCCTCCTTCTAGAAGGAGGAAGTATGGCCACAATCACTTGAGGAGAAGTGAGTTGAGGGAACGTGTAGGTATATTTGTAGACACAGAACAAATTTCTGGAGAAAGTAGAAGATAGGACAAATACAGAGGTCTAGGGTTTGAAAGAATTAAGAATTAGAGGGTAGCGGAACACATAGATAAATATGTAAAGGGTTTCCTGTGGTTAATGACAAAAGATTTTGAGTAGATTCCATAATGGTTCCCATCAGCCTTGTTGCAGTAGAAATGAGGTCCTTGGAAAATGAAGAAGGCAATGTGAGAGAGGCAGAAGAAGGAGAAAGAAGAGTCTATTGTAAAATAATCATAAGCATTACGGTGGGGTCAGGGTGAAACTGGATAAAGTGTTATGTATGGACATTCTCCAGCAATTTGCAGTAACCCCAGAGAAAATGTCTAACATGCTTTTCAGGGTTAGTAGCTAGGAGCCAAAGATAGTTAAGGAGTGAGGGCTTCTTTGTTGCCAAAGACTGAGCTGTTGAAGTTCTAGTCCTTGGGAAGTCAGCCAGGGAGAAAAGCAGGTGATTCCGGGAGGTTAATGGACTGAAGACACTGCAGAGGGTTAGAGATCATGGGAAAAGCTAAGTGTAGGTTTATTTTAAAAGAAGCAGCAGATAGGGTGAAAATATAAAAGGTTGTGATCTGAGAAAAGTGTCTAGATTTGAGGTCCTTGGGTTAAAATAATATGGGTTAAAGGCAAGAGGCGGTAAGGATGATGTCTGTCAGTTCCTGGTTAGGAAGTGAAAGTTCCTCTAGAAGAGGAAAGACAAGGTCCAAGGGTAAAGGCAGGATTTTGTATTTCACATCCTGATTATGGCAGAGAAAATGGTGGAGAAAAAAAAAATAAGCTAGGTGAAATCGTGTTTAAAAAACCAGAGGAATACCTCAAAAGTTGGTAAATAAATGCCATTCTTTTAGGGCCGGTCACGTGGCTCCCGCTTGTAATTCCAGCACTTTGGGAGGCCATGGCGGGCAGATCACGAGGCCTGAAGTTTGAGACCAGCCTAGTCAACTTAGTGAAACCCTGTCTCTACTAAAAATACCAACATTAGCCAGGCGTGGTGGCACACGCCTGTAGTCCCAGCTACTCGGGAGGCTGAGGCAGGAGAATCACTTGAACCTGAAAGGTGGAGGTTGTGGCGAGCCGAGATTGCACCACTGCACTCCAACCTGGGCAACAGAGCAGGACTCTGTCTCACATAAATAAATATAAATGCGATGCTTTTTCCTTCATGGCATTTATTATATGTAACAATTGTTTGTTTTTTAATCCCCACTTCCCTACTAAATTGAAGGCAGACTATATTTTATCTATTTTGTTCATACCAAGTTCCCAGCACAGTGATGGCTTATAAAGGAGACATGTCCAATAAATATTTGTTGCATGAATTAAAAGACAGAACCAAGGATGGGAAAGTGAACATATAATTTGATGCCACAGACTTAAAAAGATGTGAGGTCACTGAATAAAATAAATAGGAAATGTTCTGGCAATGGAACAAAGGAGCTTATCTCTTAATAAAAATAGAAAAACATAAAAATGTTCAAATCAATGATAATGAAAGAAATATAATTAATTCAAACATTTGCTTACCCTGCAGAAGGCAAGAAAGAAGAAGGTGCTTTCATTTTTCTGCGAGTAGCATGTGTGTATTACACTGCTTCAGTCAGAGAAATTAAAAGGTAGGATAACTTAAGTCTAAAATAATATATGCCAACTTTTTTTTTTTTTTTTTTTTTTTTTTTGAGGTAGAGTCTTGCTCCGTCACCCTGGGCTGGAGTACAGTGGTGTGATCTTGGCTCACTGCAACCTCCACCTCCCAGGTTCAAGCGATTCTCCTATCTCAGCCTCCTGAGCAGCTACGATTACAGGCACCCGCCACCATGCCAGGCTAATTTTTGTATTTTTGGTAGAGTCCGGGTTTCGCCATGTTGGCCAGGCTAGTCTCGAACTCCTGGCCTGAAGTGATCCGCCTGCCTTGGCCTCCCAAATTGCTGGGATTATAGGCGTGAACCACCACGCCCAAGCTTTACCAACATTTTCTTTTTAAAAATGTTCACGTTCAGGGGTACATGTGCAGGTTTGCTGTATAGGGAAGGATTGCTATCACAGGGATTAGATGTACAGATTATTTCCGTCATCCACGTAATAAGCATAGTGCCCTCTAGGCGATTTTTCAATCCTCACTCTCCTCCCGCCCTCCGCTCTCCAGGGGACCCTGGTGTCTGTGTTCCCATTGTAGTGTCCTACAGCAAAATTTTCTATTCTTCACATTTCTTGAAAGATCATTGTAAAATGGCAAGTATATTTTAAAATGGCAATGCTGTAAAAGCACTCACAGTGATTTCTTGGGTTACCACTCAGCTTCCCCACAAGGTCACTTTCATGAGATCTGGCTCTTGGGGTCAGAATGAATTGTAGGTTGGATACGCATCAGCCTGCCAAAAACAACCCCAAGTGTGCCAAGTATGGGAGCCAGCAACGTTACAGAAGGCATACGGTATGCCTGACACCTTTGGCTCTTGGCAAAATGAGCCAAGGGTATGACTTGACAACTTTTTTGGGTGAACAAGTTGTCCCTTTTGTATCAAATGTCATCAGCTCACTGATGTGTATTTGCTGATGTCAGCCAGAAAATGAAGCACTTGCAAAAAATGCAATTTTAAAGCAGTCATATTTGAATACTAACTTCCACTGATTCTCATTTGGGTTTGGAAGCAATGCACAATTGCCCTTAAAATAGAAAAAAAAAACTTATTCCTCGGAAGTGATGCTGTCCTTCTCCCCTCGTCGTTACCAATTTTTTCACTAAAATGAATATTGTCAACAATGAAGTAAAAGTGAAGCTGTCATTTGATATGTTTCTGAAATTTTAAAATATTGAATGGTTATTTTCAGACTAAATATGTTATCTTATTTTTTATATGTTTAAAGGTAGCAGGAAAAGTGACTCTTGTATTTATGACGGGAGAAAGAGGGGACAATTCAGAAACAGAGAGGGAGACCAATAGAGTCAAAAATGTCTCCAACAGTTACATAAGCACCAGACTGCCAAGAATTTTTACACTGAAGCCGGAGCTTGACTGGGAAGTAGAGGTACACATCACATGAGAACACAGGTGGTTGGGTCGGGGCTGCATGGTGCAGTTCAGGTCTTCAACAGGGTAGACTCTTCAGAAAATGTGGATTTTTCTTTTTTCCTTTTTTTAGTTTAGTGGAGCCTCGCTCTGTCGCCAGGCTGGAGTGCAATGGTGCGATCTCGGCTCACTGCAACCTCTGCCTCCCGGGTTCAAGCGATTCTCCTGACTCAGCCTCCCAAGTAGCTGGGATTACAGTCCCGCGCCACCATGCCCAGCTAATTTTTGTATTTTTAGTAGAGACAGCGTTTCACCATGTTGGCCAGGCTGGTCTCAAATCTCCTGACCTTATGATCCACCCGCCTCAGCCTCCCAAAGTGCTGGGATTACAGGTGTGAGCCACCTCGCCCAGCCCAGAAAATGTGGGTTTTATTTGATCTGGTGTATTTCTGTTTGTTTCAGAATAGATGTCCGGATAAACAGTCACCTGAGAATGAGGAAGGTGTGTGTTTTCAAACCTGCACATAATAAAAAGACTATTGATAAGATTATTAGAATGGAGATAGAAAACTAATTTTAAAATTAACATTATTTTGCCATTTAGAAATGAATAAAGTTATTTCTGATACCAGTTATTTGAAGAAATATCATCAGAGGACTTAATTTATATATCCAACTAAAAATGATGGCAGTGCTGCTGTTTCTAAGCTGTGTGTAAATACTCAGTTACAGTTTCTTAATTTGGTCTCAAATAGATTTTTTTTTTCAACTTGCGTGCTACAGGTTTATTTTTCTGTTGTATTTTCAGCAATGTTTTAAAACTCATTCTTTGAAATTCTAAAATTTGTCAATTAAGATTGGGTTTCGTAGTTCTTAACATCTTTTATCCTCTCTAAAATTAAGTCTACTTTGATGGTAATAATTAGGTTTACTGTGTTGATAAACTAAGGAAAGCATACAATTTAAAAAAGTGATTTTTTAGGCTGGGCGTGGTGGCTCACGCCCGTAATCCCAACACTTTGGGAGGCTGAGGTGGGCGGGTCACCTGAGGTTGGGAGTTCGAGACCAGCCTGACCAACATGGAGAAACCCCATCTCCACTAAAAATACAAAATTAGCTGGGCGTGGTGGTGGATGCCTGTAATCCCAGCTACTCAGGAGGCTGAGGCAGGAGAATCAGTTGAACCCAGGAGGCGGAGTTTGTGGTGAGCCAAGATCATGCCATTGCACTCCAGCCTGGGCAATAATAGCAAAACTCCATCTCAAAAAAAAAAAAAAAAAAAAAAAGTAAAAAAAAAAAGAAAATTATAAAGAAAAGAAACCCACCCACTGGGTTCGAGCAATTCTCCTGCCTCAGCCTCCCTAGTAGCTGGGATTACAGGCATGCGCCACCATGCCTGGCTAATTTTTTTTGTATTTTTAGTATAGATGGGGTTTCACCACATTGGCCAGGGTGGTCTCGAACTCCTGACCTCAAGTCATCCACCCACCTTGTCCTCCCAAAGTGCTGGTATTACAGACCTGAGCCACTGTGCCCGGACTGTTTTCTTTCATTTTCTGTTTTGGTTTACAAACCTCCACTTTAGTCTTCAAATACATTCATTTTATTAATTATGCTGACCATTGAATTTTTTTATGCTGGCAAGTATATTTTAATTTCCAAGGACATTTCATTGCCTCATCAGTACTTTTTCATAGCTTTTTGTTCTTGTTTTATAAATGCAATAATCTCTTGACTCTCTCTGAAGATACCAATTTGGATTTTCTGCTTGTTTAAGTTTGCTTAAGTTCCTTGTATTTTTGTTTCCCTGAAATTGGTTTATCTGCTTATTTTGGACCTTTTAGGCTCTTCTTTCTTTTTATTTTCCAAATATCTGCTTTTACTTATTTGTCCATCCATATTTGTGAATGATTGACTACTTTGGTTCATTATAGGCAGGTGGCATGGGTTCCTCTGGAATCTTTTAGTCTTGTTTTCTTAGTAGTCTTCTCATCTCTAAATGAGAGGGCAGCTGCGGCTCCATGTAGATAGGTAGGAGTATAGACAAACCTTGAGCAATGTGGCGGTTAGGGGCGTTGACCCATTGCACAGTTGGAAATCCATATACAACTTTTGACTCCCCAAAGCCTTACTACTAATAGCCTACTGTTGACCAGAAGCTTTACCAAGAACATCAACAGTCAGTTAACACATGTGTTGTGTTGTATGTACTATGTACTGTATTCTTACAAAAAAGTAAACTAGAGAAAAGATGTTAAAAAAATTATAAGTAAAAAAATATATACTTACTATTCATGAAGAAGAAGTAGATCATCATAAAGTTCTTCATCCTCATCGTCTTCCCACTGAGTGGGCTAAGGAAGAGGAGGGGTTGGTCTTGCTGTCTTGGGTGGCAGAAGATGAAGGAAATCTTCATACATAAGTGGACCCACATGGTTCAAATCTGTGTTGTTCAAGGGTCAACGGTAGATGGCACTTAGACTTCCCTATAAGGTGTGTAGTCAGGGAACCGCCTGGTAGGGACCCCTACAGTCACCTGACTTAGGAAGTGTGTTACTCTTGGGGATGGAGCACTTCATTTCTTTTACTCCTGGGCAGAGCTGACTTTTCTTCTCCAATGATAGTCCCCTTCTATACTTCTGGGTATGTCAGTATTTACTTTAAACTACTCTATTCCTCTTTCAATCCCACACCTTTTGAAATGCATTTATATATTTGATGCTTCTTATCTTTTTTAAGCCTGTAAGTTGTCTGACTAACAGAAATTTCCCAAGTAGGTAAATCTTAGGAAACAAATTAAAATGATAAATATGGTGAAATTTAAGACCTTCTAAATGATTAATAAAGTATATAAAATTCATAAGTTTGCAACTTAAAATCTCAAATCTAAACCAACTACTCAGTCACACATTTTAAATTGGAATTAAATGACTGATCTGTTTCTATTGAGCCGAACTCTCTTAAACACTAAAAATATGTAAAATGTGAAATATGCACAAGCTCCTTTACATAAAAAAATATTATTTATATTTGTTTAGTCATTGAAATAGCTCTGCTTTTAATTATAAATTTTTCTGGACTTGCCCACAAAGGAATAATTTATATCATCCTAGCTCAGCCAGTTAAGATTATATAACAGCCAGAAATATTGGCCCAGATGCTGAATAAATCCTTGTCGATGACTATAAGGAGATACACAGAGCTCTGTTAAGGTCACTGTATCAGTGTCCTTTAAGTGTGTGTGTTTGAAGGTGTGGGGTGGCAGGATGCAGGGAGGAAGAGCTGTGATAGCCCAGGTCATTCAGATCCCTAATCTGCTCTTTTCTGTCTTCATACACTGAATTAGATTTGGCCTTTCTTTAGCTTTTAAGATTTATGTGTGCCTTTTCCATCTAACTCTAAATACCTTTGATAAGTCCTGTCTCCTTTGCCTGTATTTTTTAACACTTAGGACTACAGAACTCTTGGGGGCGGGGGCATTCAAATGGCATCCAGAGTTTTAGTGCGTTCTCCTGACATTGACTTTTTTAGCCACATTTCAAGGTCATGCTACTGACGATTACGGACCAAGAGAAGAGCAAGTGACTGCTGACCTCTAGAGGATACTCAATGCAATAAATGATTGTTTTTCTGTGCTAATAATAGCACTGACATCATATGGTTGTAATAAATTTGAACAGGATGATTGAAGCAAATGTACAGCGCCTAGCATGCACTAAGAATTTGGTGACTGTGATCATTTTTTATAGTTGCATTTAGATAAAGAACTGTCCCTAAAAATTATTCATCGTTAGATGAGAAAGAAACCTTTAAGCAGATATTTAGATAAGGGGTGTTTTCTTTTATATCTCCAGTATATTCCCACTAGCACTGAGCAATATTTTATGAATCTAGTATCGCAAAAACAGTTTAGATTTATAGCAGGTTCTCAGCCTCAGCACCGTGGCCATTTGGGGCTGGATATCTCGTTGCCGTGGAGCCGTCGCGTGCATGGTAGGATGGTTAGCAGCGTCCCTGGCCCCTACGTACTAGACGCCAGAAACACTCCTCTCCAACTGTGACAACCAAAAATGTCTCCAGAACCTGCCAGATGTCTCCTGGGAAAGGCAAAATTACCACCATTTTATAACCATGCCAATTGCTGTGTATTTTTTTAAATCTGTTTTCCTATTTGCTTCTCTGAACTCAGTTCCTATCTTTGGAGCTTTCTATCTTTTGACCTAAAAGTGGCATGGAATATCTCAACACTTCCTTTTCCTCCCCAGCTCGGGGTCTAAAGAGGAGAATGTAATTAAGATTAAATCCAAAGCTTTATTTAAATAAATAATCAATCTATTAAGGGGAAAATATGCTCCACTAAAGCCATAAAGCCATCGGCTATCACTCCTTCTTGTGAGCCTGACTTGCTTTTTCGGTTTGTCGCTGGTTAAGAGAATTGCAGATGTATTCCATTGAGGAAAGCGGTATGTTCCCACACTAGCGAAAAACATTGTATTCTTCTAGTTAATCATTTTCAAAGAGCTGTTTCTATTTCTGGTTACTACAAAAATAATGGCCTGCAGGTCATCTATTTATGATCAAGTAAATTCCGCTTCATTGAAATGTTGTAGACTTTAGAAGAAAGAAAGAAAACACACTAAAGGCTTCTGGACAGTCAAATATTTTAACTTGGAGTGTGAAACACTAAATTAATCACACAGTAACTTCAGGCTGTTATTAGCCTTTTATGGTCAATGAATATTGATTGTTGAGTGAATCAATGATTGGACACACGTATACATGGATTTTATCACTTGGAAACTCTATAATTATCATACTAAATTCCCGATATTGTGGTTAATAGCTTTCTAGAAAAAAGAGTTGTTATAAAACCATAATGTATTACTGTTAAAAGTTGGGATTCGGGGAAAAGTAAGAGCTGTATAATTAATCCACCTATCAAAAAATAATCCTAATTAATATTTTTATTGTTAGTGAATTTGAATGTTAGTTG
The DNA here is from genome assembly GCF_000001405.40 of Homo sapiens. Lineage (NCBI taxonomy): Eukaryota > Metazoa > Chordata > Mammalia > Primates > Hominidae > Homo > Homo sapiens. Next base: position 18,314,336 of record NC_000010.11, read on the forward strand.
AATTGTTCATTTTGGATAAGGAGATTACAAAGATGTTTGACTCTGTTCACAACATGGGGAAAATGATTGGGCTATCTGAGACTGAGTTATCAATAGAGTATACTTTTTGTTTGTTACATCAGTAAATATCAGGGTTTTTTTTTTCTGTTTTTCCTCCTTCTTCAAGTCTGAAAAATTATTTGCCTAGAAGGGGAAACATATTCAGACAATTGAAATTCCACAGTTCATCTTCCCACATTTGTGAGAAAAAAAAAACGTGAGCCACCATAAAGTAACTAAAACAGCTAAATCAGTCTATTACTGTTGCCCTCAGTTACCATTCAAAAACTGTCTGCCATACAGCAAAACATTTTTTCATACACATGAACCCTACAGTACCCACTGTAACAAATACAGCAAAAATATTACAGAATAAAAACGTCTCCAAGGTCCAATAAAAGATGTTTGTTTGATACAGTAGCAATACCAGTGCACCTGAAGAGTATTACTTCATCCTGAAAACCTCTTAAAATCTGCACCAAAAGATTAAAAAACACTTACACTAAAAACTTACTAACTCAGAAAAACTCATGGGAAGGACAATTGGAATTCTAGTGGTGTTTCATTTCTTTTTTTAAAAAATACTTGCCCTTAGAAATTCACATACTAACTCTAACCTAGTAAGTTAGATAGACATGTACAAAGTACTTTCTAATTCAGAGATAAAAACAGTGGGACCAGGCGCCATGGCTCATGCCTGTAATCTCAGCACTTTGGGAGGCCAACGCCGGCCGATGACCTGAGGTCAGGAGTTCGAGACCAGCCTGGCCAACACAGTGAAACCCCATCTCTACTTTAAAAATACAAAAATTAGCAGGGTGTGGTGGCACACATCTGTAATCCCAGCTACTTGGGAGGCTGAAACAGGAGAATTGCTCAAACTTGGGAGGTGGAGGTTGCAGTGAGCCAAGATCACACCACTGCACTCCAGCCTGGGCAACAGAGCGAGACTCTGTCAAAAACAAAACAAAACAAAACAAAACAAAACAAAAACAAAAACAGTGGGCCAGTCACTGTAGCTCACGCCTGTAATCCCAGTGCTTTGGGAGGACAAGGCAGGAGGATTGCTTGAGCCCAGGAGTTTGAGATCAGCCTGGGCAGCAAAAAGAGACCTTGTCTCTATTTAAAAAAAAAAAAAAAAAAAAAAAAAAAAACTTTTTTTTTTTTTAATTAGCCAGATGCAGTGGTGCCTGCCTGTGGTCCCAGTTGCTCTGGAGCCTGAGGTGGGAGGGTAACTTGAGCACAGAGGTTCAAGGCTGCAGTCAGCTATGATGGTGCCACTGCACTCCAACCTGTGTGCTAGAGTAGGATCCTGTCCCAAAGAAACAAAACAAAATGAAACTAAAAAGAGTGGTGTGTTGGTAAATGTTTAATATTCCACTATCCAAAAAATAAAGAAGAAAATAAGTTCTGATGTGTAGCGCTTTCCAATTTCCATGGTATAAATACTCCCACCATGGACAACTTCAAGCTACAACATCGCCTCACTGAATGCAGAGCTGAAAGTCATGCTGCTGACACCATTCTGCAGTTTCCATCATAGACGTAATGAACTTCGGAGTACAGACAGTAGCAAAATCATTAGGAAGTTATGAGTTTTGAGTATTGTCTTTGTTTTTAGCATAATTTATTTAGTCACAGGTTTTAGTAACTTCTAGTAATGGCTGTATTTGACAACTGACTCTCCAAATTCCCAAAATTTTAACAGTCAGGCAGGCCAGCTCCAGGAGCACACCTCTGAGATACATTATATATGTGTGTGTGTAATTTACATTTACATTTACATTTACATATATATGTAAATTCTCTAAAGGTTAATAGGTACTTGAAACATCTATTTCCCAGGTGTTTTAAAGTAATTTTTTGCAGTATTAGCATCTACTTATTCAATTCCCTAGTTCTAGTATCTAAAACAGGAGCTGGTATAAATTAAGTTCTCAATAATGTTGGGTAGCTGCCTAGTCCTAACAATGTGAAATAGGCCTGATAAATCAAAGGAAAGTTCAGTTAGCCTGTATTATCTCAAATTATCTCTGAATTAAAAATCTGTATTGATAACTAGAAAAGGTCTTTCTTTTTTTCTTCCCCCCTCTCTTTTTTTTTTTTTAAGACAGAGTCTCGCACTGTCACCCAGGCTAGACTGCAGTGGTGTGGCCATAGCTCATTACAGCCTCCAACTTCCAGGCTCAGGCAATCTTCCCACCTCAGCTTCCTGAGTAGCTAGGACTACAGATACATGGCACTATGCCTGGTTAAATTTTGTATTCGTTGTAGTGCCAATTTCACCATGTTGCCTCAGCTGGTCTTGGACCCCTGGGCTAAAGCAATCCACCCACCTCAGCTTCCCAGGGTGCTGGAATTACAGGCATGAGCCACCAGACCTGGTCCCTAGGAAAGATCTTAACCTACTCAATAAGCCTATAAGAATAAATAAGTGGCTTCCTCCAGGTTCTCTGTCCTTTTTGTATTAGGATCCTGCAAATCTTAGCACTGTCTTAGCCCCAGCAGACCTTGCCAACTTACTTCATCCTTGGGTATTCTTTTTATAATTACCCTCAAGGAAGCCATGCTTCTTAGGAGAGTGGAGAAGAGAAAAGGTAAGCTCCTATTACAAGAAGAAACTTTGCTTTTTACCTCTACCACCTTCACAATCCAGCAAGAATTGAAAGGAAACACATTCTTACCTCCCATGCACTCATAAACTTACAGCTGTCTCCCCATTCCCCACACCACCCCCTGCCCCCCACACAGAAAACCTACTTTACAAAAACTGTCCTCTCAAAGGTCTCCAGAAACCTTCTCCTTGCTTAATCTAATGACTTCCTTTTGGCCTTCATCCTACCAAACTTTTCCCTAGCTTTTTTTTTTTAAATCTTTTTTAAAAGTTTAGATTTGGGGGTTACAGATGCAGATTTGTTACATGGGTATACTGTATGACGCTGAGGTTTGGGCTTCTAAAGATCCCATTGCCCAAGTAGTGAACAAAGAACCCAATAGATGGTTTTTCACCCTTTCCTACCTCTCCCCTTTTGGGACTCCAGTGTTCATTGTTCTCTTCTTTGTGTCCAGGTGTACCCAATGTTTAGCTCCCACTCGTGAGAACATGTAGAATTTGATTTTCTGTTACTGTATTAATTTGCCTAGGTTCTTGGCCTCTAGCTGCATCCATGTGGCTGCAAAGGACATGATTTTATTCTTTTTTATGGCTGCATAGTATCCTGTGGGTGTATATGTATCACATTTTCTTTATCCAGTGCACCAGCAACAGGTGCCTGGGTTGATTCCTCATCTTGGCTATTGTGAACAGTGCTGCGATGAACATATGAGTGCAGGTGTCTTTTGGTAGAATGATATGACCCTAAGGAACATCCATTCTTTCTTGAAAATTTCTGACATTTATTTATTCATTTATTCCATACATATTTATTGAGTGCTCCTCTGTTCCAGCCATTGCTCTGGACATTGGGAAATCAGCTATGAATAAAGAACATGAGGTCTTTATGCTCTAAAAGAATCTATTTTAACCTAGGAATACAGCTTACAAGGGACCTGAAGTACCTCTTCAAGGAGAACTACGAACCACTGCTCAAGAAAATAATAGGACACAAACAAATGGGAAAACATTCTATGCTCATGGATAGGAAGATTCAATATCGTGAAAATGGCCAAACTGCCCAAAGTAATTTATAGATTCAATACTGTTCCCATCAAACTACCATTGACTTTCTTCACAGAATTAGAAAAAGCTATTTTAAATTTCATATGGAACCAAAAAAGAGCCTGTATAGTCAAAACAGTCCTAGGCAAAAATAACAAAGCTGGAGGCATAATGTTACCTGACTTCAAGCTACACTACAAGGCTGCAGTAACCAAAACAGCATGGTACTGGTACCAAAACAGACATATAGACCAATGGAATAGAATAGAGACCTCAGAAATAACGCTGCATGTCTACAACCATCTGATCTTCAACAAACGTGACAAAAACAAGCAATGGGGAAAGGATTCCCTATTTAATAATTGGTGCTGGGAAAACTAGCTAACCATATGCAGAAAACTGAAACAGGATCCCTTCCTTACACCTTATACAAAAATTAACTCAAGGTGGATTAAAGACTTAAATGTAAAACCTAAAATCATAAAAATCCTACAAGAAAACCTATGTATGGGCAAAGACTTTATGATGAAAACACCAAAAGCAATTAGAACAAAAGCCAAAACTGACAAATGGGATCTAATTAAACTAAAGAGCTTCTGTACAGCAAAATAAACTATCATCATGGTGAACAGGTAACCTACAGAATAGGAGAAAATGTTTGCAATCTACCTATCTGACAAAGGTCTAATATCCAGAATCTACAAGGAACTTGAACAAATTTACAAGAAAAAAACAACCCCATCAAAAAGTGGGCCAAGGATATAAACAGACAGTTCTCAAAAGAAGACATTTATGAGGCCAACAAACATATTTAAAAAGCTCATCATCACAGATTATCAAACAAATGCAAATCAAAACAATGAGATACCATCTCACATCAGTCAGAATGGTGATTATTAAAAAGTCAGGAAACAATAGATGCTGGTGAGGCTGTGGAGAAATAGGAATGCTTTTACACTGTTGGCGGGAATGTAAATTAGTTCAACCATTGTGGAAGACGATGTGGGAATTTCTCAAGGATCTACAACCAGAAATACCATTTGACCCAGCAATCCCATTACTGGGTATGTACCCAAAGGAATATAAATCATTCTACTGTAAAGACACATGCACACGTACATTTATTGTGGCACTGTTCACAATAGCAAAGACTTGGAGCCAACCCAAATACCTATTAATGACAGACTGGATAAAGAAAATGTGGTATATATACACTGTGGAATACTATGCAGCCATAAAAAGGAATGAGATCATGTCCTTTTCAGGGACATGGATGGAGCCGGAAGCCATCATCCTCAGCAAACTAACACAGGAACAGAAAACCAGACACTGCATGTTCTCACTCATAAGTGGGAGTTGAAAAATGAGAACACATGGACACAGGGAGGGGACCAACCCACACCAGGGCCTCTCAGGGGGTGGGGGGCAAGGGGAAGGATGGCATTAGGACAAATGCCTAATGCATGTGGGGCTTAAAACCTAGGTGATGGGTTGATAGGTGCAACAAGTCACCATGGCACATGCATACCTATGTAACAAACGTGTACATTCTGCACATGTATCCTGGAGCTTAATATTTTAAAAAATAATATAAATAATTAAAAAATAAAAAGGCACAACAAAGGGAAGGAATTTAATTTTTGAAAAAGAATATTTTGTAACTGAGAAAGATAGTAAATAAACAAACCAAATAAACTGACAAATTAAGGGGAAGTGTGAGCGTTTTGCAGTAGAGTGAAGGACTCTCTAATGAGGTGACCTTTGAGCTGAGACCTGTATGACAAGGAAATGCCACAGGGTGAGCTAAGGTGGAGAGAGTTCTGGACAGAGGCAAGTGCAAAGGCCCTGAGGAAGAGTGAGTCTGGTGGGACCCAAGAACAGAGAGGCCAGGGCAGCTGGAGTGGAGGCCAGTGGTGAGGATAGCAGCACGTGAGTCCAGACAGACCGGGAGGGACAGATTCACTGTCTTCCTCCTATAGCTTTGCTCTTTGGCTCCTTCTGAAGGCATCATTCCACCGAGTATCACCTTCCCCTCCAATCACTCCCCGATCCACTTTCATGCCGACCCCGCCACCCCAAGGACCTGTCAGCTCCTCCATAAACTGATATCTCACCAGTTCGAATTAATTTCCCCCTCTTTGATTCACACGTCAAACTCTGTTGACCCTTTTATACCCAATCCTCATGTACTCTCCAATTTTTCTACCAGATTGGAAGCTGTTTGAGCACAGGGAGCTTTTGTCTTACTCATCTTCAGTGAGGGCAAAGTCTTCGTAGTTGCATTGTTATGTTTGTTTCATTTGCTTTGCTTTGCTTTGGTTTTGTGGTCTATGACATAGTTAAGTACGAAACAAATTTTTTTTCGTTTGGTGAAATGAGTGAACATATATTTAATGAATGTTGTTCTGGCAAAAATTTTGAAAAACTAGTGCTTAAAACATAGCTTAGAATTAAGTCTTTGCATGAAAAAAGACACGATTATTAGAGGCAGTAGAATGTGATGTTTGAGAGCACAAAGTCTGAATTTAGACTGCGGGGACATAATCCCAGCCCTGCCACTTACTAACTGTGATCTTGGGCCAGTTACTTAACTTCCCATGCCATTGTCATCTCATCTGTAGAATGGGGATAGTTGTATGTAACCCACAGGGTTGTTTTTTAGGTTGAATGAATAAATGCATGGAAAGAACTAGAAAAGAACATAGTTAGAACTGCGTAACTATTGGCTATTATTTACTTATTGATGGGCTGAAAAAGAATATACTTGATTTTCACTTCCTGTCCAGCAACATTTGTCTGATTTTTTTGCACATTTTGGATGCTCTCAATAGTCATTTCATTACAAGTAGAATAACCATATCCAAGAAACCAAGGATTTGAAAAAGAAATAATTGTCTTACTTAACTAACTTGATTTGCAGGTAGAACTACTGATGATAACATGCAAGGGGACAGAAAGCTCATATTTTTCCTTCTAAGGCAACTATTAGTAAATCCTTTATTTCACACACCACAAACTGAAGTATTTCTGAAGTGCAGTCCAGGAAGAAAATGTGTCTCTTAGAAACAGAGAATTGAGAAAGCAGAAATAGACCTTCTAGGTGAAGCTGAGGACTTCTGGTGCATCCCTGCAGGCCATGAGACATTTTCTCAGATAAGTGGGAAGTTGATATTGAGCCTCTGATTACTCTGAACACCTTCCCTCCACCTCCAACTGATGGCATTTATTGATTAGATCAACTTGGGGTATAAGTGCAGTGATGTAACTAGACTTTGAGAGATTGTCTTAGGTTATGTTTTGACTATGCATGTATTTGAGAATACCACAGTACTTAGAAAATTTAATTTATTTCACCAGCTACCAGAAGTATGACAAATTAGTGATTGACAAGGCAATTGCTAGTGGGAAAAAAAAATGAATAAGACCTACTGTTTGACAGCACAATAGGGTGACTATAGTCAATAATAACTTAGTTGTACATTTTTAAATCACTTGAAGAGTATAAATGGACTGTTTGTAACTCACAGGACAAATGCTTGGGGGCATGGACACCCCATGCTCCGTGATGTGCTTATTTCATATTGCATGCCTGTATCAAAACATCTCATGTACCCCACAAATAAATACACATACTGTGTACTCACAAACTTTTTTTTTAAAGGAGAGAAGGCAGTTGGTGTTTGGTATTTTAATCACCTCACTAGTGTGGATATGTGACAATCATAGGAGCCATTACCTCATATTAGGTCCTGGCCTGTTGATGCATCTTTTGCCCTCTGCCCCTCTTTTTGAATTGTTTTTGGGATTCATGGGTTGTTGGTAGGGAGAAACCTTTCTAAGCCAGGGGTGGTGGCTCACACCTATAATCCCAGCATTTTGTGAGGCCAAGGTGGGAGGATCACAAGAGGCCAAGAGTTCAAGACCAGCCTGAACAACATAGCAAGACTCTGTCTCTACAAAAAATTATTAAAAAATTAGCCAGGCATGGTGGCGCATGCCTGTGGTCCTAGCTACTAAAGTGGCTGAGGCAGGAGGATCTCTTGAGCCCAGGAGTTGGAGGCTGTGGTGAGCTATGATCGTACCACTCCACTCCAGCCTGGGCAAGAGAGCAAGACCCTGTCCCCACAAAAGAGAGAAACCTTTCTAGGATGTTAAAATCCCTCAAACAGAAATCTTAGAAATCAGAGAGTATTAACTCTGATTTCCAAATTAACATCTTGGAAATCAGAGAATACAGCTAATGACAAGAATAATTAAAATGAGCTGAATAACACTCAAAAAAGAATGCAAATCAACTTTCATGGATGAAATCGCATGATTTGTAAAAAGCAGGCAGTGAGCAGATATTTTGTGGTTAATGTTTGTTGATTAAGGTTCTTTGCTGTTCACCAACACAATCAGTAATTTGTTTTTGTTGTTTTTATATGTAACAAGTTTGTTGTCCTACAAAACATCCCACATTTCCATAATTTTACAAAATTACCCTGAATGAGATGGAATAAGCCGATTAGAAACAAAGATCTGAGAGCAATGTGATATCTCTAATTATATGATTTTATTTCCTTTTAGGAAAATGGAGTAGCTTTTAATGTTCTATTAATCTCTGATTTCAAAGTGAATATGAAAGAAATAATGACTATATTTGTGAAACTAAGGTAGATGATTGTCAAAACATGACATTAAAGGAATAAATTCTTAAAGTATCTTATTTTTGCGTTAGAGACCACAGCTGGCTAAGTCATTTACATTAATAGACTTGTAGTGCTTTTACATGTGCAGTAGTGATAGTGTATTAAATTTAAAGGTCTTACTTCCTGCCTAAAAACATCAAGAAATATTTTTAATTTTTTTTTTTTTGGAAATGAGATGCCTATAGAAAATTGCAAGAAAAATGATAGCCACTACCTTAACTTTTATGGTGATATTCTTTTTTTTTTTTTTTTTTTTTGAGACAGGGTCTTGCTCTGTCACCCAGACTGGAGTACAGTGGCATGATCATGGCCCATTGCTGGCTTCTCCTCCTGGGTTCAAGCAGTCTCCAGCCTCAGTTTCCTGAGTAGCTGGGACTACAGGCACATGCCACCACACCCAGCTAATTTTTTTTTTTGTAGTGATGGGGTATCACTGTGTTGCCCAGGCTGGTCTTGAACTCCTGGGCTCATGCAATCCTCTCGCCTCAGCCTCCCAAGGTGCTGTGATTACAGGCGTGAGCCACTGCTCCTGGCCTCTCCTTGTTTTTCTTTATTATTTTTCCATATCTTTACACATCCCTAAGCAAAGTGGAGTGATTTTGCCTATTTTTGTATTTTGTATGTAAATGCAATCATATTCTAAGTATATATTTTTTGAGGGCTTGGTTTTTTTTTACTGAATATTACATTTCTGCATTTGGTCTGTGATATTTGTATAATATTCCATTTTAGAACCTATATCACAATTTATCCACTAAATGTTGGTGAACATTTAGTCTGTTTTTTAATTTTGGAACACTCATCGAATCATAGTATAGTAATGTTCATAAGTATGAATCTGAATAATCAAAAAAAGATTCACTTGGATTCCATATTTCCAGTGTAAGATTGTATGGAATTAGAGATTATTCTCCCCAGAATGGATCTCAATGTGATATTTTTGAGCAGTTAAGAGTGAGTCTCAATACTGGAAAATTCACTTACTTGGAATGTCCTAATGAAAAGAGATAATCACATTCAATAACTACACTGAACAGAAAGCAAAAAGTTGGAAAGCTTTATGTTGTTAATAGATTTTCCTATTTTCTCCATCCAGAAAATAAGTAGTGAGCTTCTTTCAGGCATGTTTTAAACTGTTACAATATGATTACACTTCTTTGAACACATTGAAATGAGACAACATAAATTCAGTCATCTCCATCTTAAAGTCATTTGTAGAAAATGGCATGTTATATTCCATGAATAGCCTGCTGATGTACAACAGATAAAACATTACACAAAATGATAGGGGAAAATACCATTTTAAACATCTAACTGATCATACGAATGAGTGTAATGGCTAGGAAGGCAAATGAATCTTTGATGATACACTTGCAAGGAATTTAAAAAATCATTCATTCACTCATCTGTCAACTATTAATTAGGTACCATCTATGTGTTTCTGTTCATGAGGAGCTTCGGCATTACAGGGAGGAGAATTATATATTAGATAAGTATTTGCATACATGGGGTGGCTGGTGCTATTATAAACAATATGCAATGGATAATGAAGAGAAGCTTTCTCTCTAGTAAGGTCAGGGAAGGCATCTGAAAGGAAGGAAAGTTTCCATTGAATTTAAAATATGGATTGGAGTTTGCCAGGAAGACAAAGAGGGAGGCCATTTCAGAATGCAGAAGTTTTGGTAGCCTTGCCAGTCGCAAATACTTACAGAATGAATGGATGATATTGGTAAAGGAATGTGCAAAGAGACATAAATAAGCCAATTGGGAAGTCCATAATATGGAATGCAAAGTAACAGAAATAATATGTTTTAAACAGTTAATGTTTATTCAAAACTTACCTGTGGGGTTGGGTGCAGTGGCTCACGCCTGTAATCCCAACACTTTGGGAGGCCGAAGTGGGTGGATCTCTTCTTAAAGTCCAGAGTTTGAGACCAGCCTGGCCAACATGGCGAAACCTCGTCTCTACTGAAAATACAAAAATTAACTGGGTGTGGTGGCATGCGTCTGTATTCCCATCTACTCAGGAGGCTGAGGCAGGAGAATTGCTTGAACCCAGGAGGCAGAGGTTGCAGTGAGCTAAGAGTGTGCCATTGCACCCCAGCCTGGACATCAGAGCAACAGAGCGTGACTCCATGTCAAAACAACAACAACAAAAACCTTACATGTGCCAGACACTATACTTAGCACTTTACATATGTTACTTATTCCTCACTCTTACGCCATGAAAGATGTGCTATTAGTATTAGCTTCATGAGCATGTCGCCTGTGCTGAGAAGGGCTCCACACTTGGATTACTGCTCTGCTATTATTCTGCTGTGATCCTTCATAATTTGGAACAAGGGACACCACATTTTCAGTGTGAACTGGGTCCCCCAGTCATGTAGCCAGAGCTAGTCCAGAGCATCCCCGTTTTTTAGTTGCAGAAACTGACCTACAAAGCAAAGTCATTTGCCTCAAACCTAGTTGGTTTTTGTCTTTTTAGGGACAGGATCCCACTTTGTCTCCCAGGCTAGAGTACAGTGGCTCAGTCATAGCTCACTATAACCTTGTCCTCCTGGGCTCAAGGGATCCTTGTGCCTCAGCCTCTCAGGTAGCTGGGACTACAGGCATGCACCACCATGCCCAGCTAATTTTTTTTTTAAATTTTTTGTAGAGATAGTGTCTTGCTACGTTGCCAAGGCTGGTCTTGAACTCCTGGTCTCAGGCAATCCTCCTGCCTTGGCCTCCCAAAGTTGCTGGTGTTACAGGCTTGAGCCACCACACCCAGATGAAACCTAGTCTGTCTGTCTTTCTTTCTCTTTCTTTCTTCCTTCTTTTCTTTTCCTTTTCTTTTCTTTCTTTCCTTTCCTTCTTTTTCTTTCTCTCTTTCTCTGTCTTTTTTCTTTCTTTCCTTTCTCTTTCTTTCCTTCTTTTCCTTTCTTTCCTTCTCTCTCTCTCTTTCTTTCTCTTTCCCTCCCTCCCTCCCTTCCTTCCTTCCTTCCTTCCTTCCTTCTCTCTCTTTCCCTTTCCCCTTCCCCTCCCCTTTCTTCCCTTTCCTTTCTTTCATCTGGCTCTATCACACAGCCTGGAGTATAGTGGCATAATCTCAGCTCACTGCAGCCTCCACCTCCCAGACTCAAGCCAACCTCTCACCTCAGCCTCCTGAGTAGCTGGGACCAGAGGCGCACACCACCATGCTCAGCTCATTTTTGTACTTTTTGTAGAGATGTAATTCCTCCATATTGCCCAGGCTGGTCTTGAACTCCTGGGCTCAAACTCCTGGGCTCCCAAAGCTGCTGAGATTATAGGCATGAGCCACTGTGCCTAGCTGAAACCTATTTTTTCTTCATGTTGATTCCTACGGTGTTAGTCCTATGCTAACCTGACTCTGTTGTCTTCTATTTTCAAGATAAATCATTAACAGAAGATATGAGCTACTACAGTTATTCAGAGTTAGTGTACAGAAACAGAAAAAAATAAAGCAGTTTTAAAAAGGAAAAAAATGGACTGAATGATTAGGAATAAATAAAACATGCAAATATTACCTTGAGTCAAAATTGGAATTCCAAAATGAATAATTAGTAGATGTAAGGCATTCCTCCAGTGTACTTCATGGCTTGAATTCAAAATCATGTTCCAAGGTAAATAAATCTGCTCCATCTTGTTTATCCAAAGGGCAGTTTGGTGTTGACTTAGTTCTGCTCTTTTTTGGTAACTTATTCAAGAAAAGCAAAGAGCAGAAAATTCGTGGTGTTTTAATCCAGGGAGAAGGAGCGGGTGGAAGTAAACAGAGTTCCTCCTTCATCAGACTTCGTCAGAACTGCTATGCCCTCTGACTGCATTAGATTAAATACTGCAAATAAATTGGATCCCATTTGGTACTTAATAAGCACAGCTCACTTGGAAGAAGTTTTACTTCAAGATATCTTCACTTTTCTTTGGAATATGACAGTTTACCCCTCTGACCACATGAACCTCTTCAAAATTTTATTTATGCTCCTTCATGTTAATTCAGAAAGTAGAAAGTAATAATTTTTTTGAGACAGGGTCTCACTCTGTTGCCCAAGTTGGAGTACAGTGGTGTGATCAGGGCTCACTGCAGACTTGACCTTCTGGGCTCAAGCAATCCTCCCGCTTCAGCCCTCCGAGTAGCTGGGACTACAGGCATGTGCCACCATGCCCAGCAATTTTTTGTATTTTTGGTAGAGACGGGTTTTTTTGCCATGTTGCCCTTGCTGGTCTTGAACTCCTGGACTCAAGTGATCCGCCCACCTCAACCTCCCAAAGTGCTGGGATTACAGGCGTGAGTCACTGCACCTAGTGAAAGTAATGATTTTTTTTTAAGCATTCCCATAGGCCACCCTTCCTTGAAGACTGATAAGTCAAATTTCCATGATATTAAAGAATGGTATCCTAGAACATTCCAGATTGGTTTTCATTCTGTTTGACTTAAAGATTTGAAATATGTTCTGATGTTATTCCAGAGCACCTGTGGATTTGAGGGTCCAAGAAAAGTGACCACAAAAGAGCATACCTATTAATTATATAAAGAACATGTTTTTTGTAAGTATATCCATTATATTTTCATAATAAAAATAACATGATTTTATTTCTATTTATTTCTTCAGCCTCCAAAAATATCAGATATACCTAAATGCTCTTTTGTAGAAATATGCACATCTGGAAATCCTAAGTTGCCCGGTCATTTTTGTTTGTTTGTTTGTTTTTATTTGTTTTGAGACGGAGTCTCCCTCTGCCACCTAGGCTGGAGGGCAGTGGAGTGATCTCGGCTCACTGCAACCTCCACCTGCTGGACTCAAGCGAGTCTCCTGCCTCAGCCTCCTGAGTAGGTGGGATTACAGGCGCATGCTACCGTGCCCAGCTAATTTTTGTATTTTTAGTAGAGACGGAGTTTCTCCACGAAACCAGGCTGGTCTCAAACTCCTGACCTCAAACAGTCTGCCCACCTCGGCCTCCCAAAGTGCTGGGATTACAGGTGAGGCATGAGCCTCCACGCCCAGCCCCAGTCATGTTTTCAATGACCACATTTATACCCTGTATTCTGCTGAAGACAGAAATTTAAGGCAGTATCCGACTAACCTCTTCTTACAGATGAGCAGGGTTTGGCACACTAGAGCCTCTGGAGCTAGGACTGAGGGTTGGGGGGTGTCCTGGCAGGGCTAGTTCAAGACTTCAGGGCAAGGGGAAGTTTTGTCAAATGCCTGAGGAAAGGCAGAGTGGAAGTTGAAGACATATCAGAAGTGTCAAATTCTTGAAGCAGATAGGATATGAGAAGATGGGCTGCCTTAGGGGTAAGTGGTGAGCTTTTGTAGCCAGTTCTGGAAAGAGGACCTGAAAAGATCCAACCTCTATGCAGTGCTCTAAGAATCTTAGAAGTCATCAAATGCTGGGTTTCGTGGTAGAAATTCAAGAGCTGCCAGAATTCAAGGGTCAAGACTGAACAATGATGAACCATGCAGAGAAAAGAGGAGAATTTACATGGCCCTAAAACAATAATTTGCTACCTTGGCCACACATTAGAATCATCTGGGGAACTTTAAAAAATCCACATGCTCAACCAAGTTGCATCCCAGACCAATTAAGTTGGAATCTCATAGGGTGGGATTCAATAGTTGGTATAACTTAAAGCTCCCTGTGATTCCACTTTGCAGCAAGGCTGAGAAAGACTGGTTTAAAGCAAGAAGGAATGCTTACCTGGGTACTTTTGGCCTGGTTTATCCACTTAGGTATCATACTCATTATATTCATAGTTAGAATAATTCACTGTTCTATAAGTATAACCACTATTATACTTAAGTATAAATATACTTAAATTGCACTTACACTGTTTGTCTACACAGGCACTTAAAGGGTCCTGCTTACTAGGGTTCAATTCACATCATCAAAGACTGAAACTTCTATAAAGTTTTAGTCCCCCTAATTTAACAAACCAGTGTAGAATAGCAAGACATTCATCCTAAAGAGACTTGTACATTGAAGTCGATGTAGATTTGGGACTCAATTCAATGAACTGCTCTTTCATCAGGGGTTGGTTAAGCAAGCTTCAGGGATTCTGAGCTATTTGTGTGAACCAAACGTAACCCTAGGTCAGAGATTTGTAGAACTGTATATGATTTCACTGGATATGTAGAGAATAAGGAAACACAAAACCTCCACATCTCCCAAAGACTGTATTTATGTTGGGGGTATATCCAGTTTTTCATTTGATACTCAGAGAATAGTTTTGACTTTGCAGACCTCCTGATTGCTCTCAGGGCTCTCAGACTACACTTGGAGAACCCCTCACAAGAGGCATATGCATAGTGAAAGGAGTGAGGGCTGCAAGTTCATGGATGCATTATTTTCTCGTTTTCGTTTGTAGGGAAATACATGCTCTGTCATTGACTTGCAAGGATTTTCTTTTTATTCTTAATTGCCTCCCTAATCCTTTCTCCACTCAGCTGTGGTACTCAATGCACTCAGATTAAATGTGTGTGTTCTTCTGGGCCAGGAAGGAATAGATAGCATTGATGTGGACCCTCAACTGTATTACAGAATAGGGTGGTAAACACTCAGGAGAAACATTCTCCCTGGTAAAGTGCTAAGCAATTGTTAAACAGCATTTTAAAGCATGAATGAACGTCTTGCTTGTACATTCCAAAGTTCCACAAACAAAAGAAAAGTTCTTATTCTAAAGGAGCAGGAGATGAATCCTGCCGATAATGTTTTTTATAATGTGGCTGTGAATATTTTTTCCCAGAGTTGGTAATCCTAAATCACCTCTTACAAGTAAAAAAAGAAAAAAAAAAAAAAAAAAGCAGGATAAGAAGAAAGATATAAGCTTAAATAATGGGCCATTGTAGTCAAAATCAGGGAGTAGCCAATTATTTTTGCGATTTGCACTAAGTGTGCGTTTAGAAAGTTGGATTAATCTCACTACTTCACTGCAGAAATTAATGAGATGAGATCACATGGTAGAAACCAGTGCTTTGTACCTCATGATCTCATTTTTAGCAATCTTGTATGTCCTCGTTTTATAGTACTTTTATCCCAAATTCATTGTTTCCAATAAAATATTTTATGTTTATTTTATGCTATTATATTTATAGATTTATGTTTTCTTGTTGTTGTTTGTTTGGTTTTCTTTTTTGAGATGGAGTCTCGCTCTGTGTCCCAGGCTGGAGTGCAGTGGTGCGATCTCGGCTAACTGCAACCTCCTCCACTTCCTGGTTTCAAGCGATTCTTCTGCCTCAGCCTACCAAATAGCTGGGATTACAGGCACGCACCACCCTGCCCGGCTAATTTTTATATTTTTAGTAGAGACTAGGTTTTGCCATGTTGGCCAGGCTGGTCTTGAACTCCTGACCTCAAGTGATCCACCCTTCTCGGCCTCCCAAAGTGCTGAGATTACAGTTGTCAGCCACTGCACCCAGCCAGATTTATGTTTTAAAAATTCAGATATTTATAAAGATAACACAAAGAAGTCCTAAAAATCGCATTCATTATTTAATACTCAAAATATTTGACAGACTTCATATACGTAATTACACATTAGTCACATATCATGCATATGCTTATGTAATCTAGTGTGAATACAATTATCGGGTCTATTCCTTCCAAAACTCATGACATCAACAAGCTTTAGTTTAAATAAAAGTTAGATGGCCAGGTGAAGCAGTTCATGACTGTAATTCCAGCACTTTGGGAGGCTAAGGTGGGAGGAACACTCGAGCCTAGGAGTTCAAGACCATCCTGAGCATAGCAAGACTCTGTCTCTACAAAACATTGAAAGATTAGCCAGGTGTAGTGGTGTGTTCCTGTGATCCCAGTTACTTGGGAGGCTGAGGTGGGAGGATCATTTGAGCCCAAGAGGTTGAAGCTACAGTGAGATGTGATTGTGCCACTTCCCTGGGTGACAGAGCAAGACCCTGTCTCCAAAATAACTAAAGGTTAAAATTAAAACTAAAACTTTTTTTTTTTTGAGATGGAGTCTTGCTCTGTTGCCCAGGCTGGAGTGCAGTGGCATGATCTCGACTCACTGCAACCTCTGCCTCCTGGGTTCAAGCAATTCTCCTGCCTCAGCCTCCTAAGTAGCTGAGATTACAGGCCCCCGCCACCACGCCTGGCTGATTTTTGTATTTTTAGTGGTGATGGGGTTTCATCATGTTGCCCAGGCTGGTCTCGAACTCCTGGCCTCATAATCTGCCCACCTCGGCCTCCCAATGTGCTGGGATTACAGGTGTGAGCCACCGTGCCCGGCCTTTTTATCTTCTGCACCATGCCCGGCCTTTTTTTTTTGGAAACCGAGTCTCACTCTGTTGCCAGGCTGGAGTGCAATGGCGCGATCTTGGCCCACTGCAACTTCCGCCTCCTGGGTTCAGGTGATTCTCCCGCCTCAGCCTCCTGAGTAGCTGGGACTACAGGCGTGCGCCACCATGCCCAGCTAATTTTTGTATTTTTAGTAGAGACGGGGTTTCACCATGTCGGTCAGGATGGTCTTGATCTCTTGACCTTGTGATCTGCCCTTCTAAGCCTCCCAAAGTGCTGGAATTACAGGCATGAGCCACCGTGCCTGGCCATAAATTTTTTTTGATTAGATGATGCTGGGCACAATGGCACACACCCATTGTCCTAGATACTTGGGAGGCTGAGGCAGGAGGATCACTTGAGCCTAGGGGTTTGAGGCTGCAGTGAGCTATGTTTGCGTCATTGCAGTCTAGCCTGGAGAACATAGCTAGATGGCATCTCATTTAAAAAAAAAAAAAAAGGATGGGGGGGTGAAAATTGCACAATTTCTTCTGACTTTTTTTTAACTTAAATTAACTGAGAAGCCCTAGAGATTATAACTGTTACCTCTAACTGCTTGAGATTCTTGCATAAAGTCTTGTTCCTCCAACATGTTACTAGAATAACAGCTCCAGAACTGTTGGTTTGAAGACTAAGTCACTAGCCTCCCTCTAGGTGATGAGTTGAACATCCTCTCATAACAGCAGAAGACTCAGAGTCTCAGGCCTATCAAGCAACTTAGCCAGTTAGTTAATGGCAACAGAGCCGGGCCTAGCTCAGATCTCCAAATCTAAATCTGGTGTACTCTTCACTGTACTGAATGAACTTCAAGGTTTCCCTGGATTGTGGGCCAAATCATATCACTCTAAAAGTACCAAGTATGTTCATGGTGGCAGCCATGCAGGAGTTGATTAGGGGCGCAGGGTGGGGGCAGTGAGGGGAAAGCACTCTAAGCAGATGGAAGAGAAAGTGCGGAGGCCCCAACACAGGAATGCTCTTGGCTCAGTCCGAGGACAGCAGGACACCAATGTGGCTGCAGTGTGGGGATGAAGGGGCAGAGAGAGGGGAGAGGACGTCTGAGATGTGAGTGGAAGCCATATCTCCCCAGGCCCTGCAGGCCACAGTTATCTCAGCTGCAGCAAGACATGAGTAGAGGACTTTAATTTTAAGCAGCAGGGTGATACAAGCTGTCTGTGCCTTATAAAGACCTCTTTGGCTGCTCTATGGAGATTGGACAGCGTCCAAGAGATGAGCTGGGGATATTGCTAAAGGGAGTGGTGGTGAGAGGTGGCAAGGGTTGGATTTGCGAAATACTTTGGAGTTAGCATGGACAGGACTTGGTAAGTGATTAGCTGGGAGGATAGGGGAGCATGTGGGTGCTGTTTGCTGTAGTATGAGGAATTAGTAGCTCTTTCGGGGACACAGAAAGATCAAGAAGTCTATTGGATATCCATGCAGAGTCATCAAATTGGCGTTAAATGCAACAATCTGGAACTCAAAGACCTTAAATATTTAGGAAAATCCAACCTCGCAGAAACAAAGAGTATTCCAGGACTACAGAATAAGTATTCTTTCAGCATAGGTGAGAAGTGAACATTTCAGGAGGAAATCTCTTCAGATGGCAGGTCAGAGAAAGGCTGGGAGAAGAGGATTAGGAAACAGGGTGAGAGGGGGTATCTAAAAAACACAGTGGGACAAAAATAGCACTTTATGTAACCTCCCTAGTCCCTAGCACAACTTGTATTAGTCTGTGGAAATTGTATTAAGGAGAAATATTGAAACATTATACATAATACATTGAATTAGTTAGATTCATTTAACTACTATAGAACATAATCAGCAGTTCATTTACAGTTAACTCTGAAAAGATGTTTAATTCATTTTAATGGTATGAAAAAGAGACTTTACCATGTTAAATGCAGGTTACAAGTACCAAAAAATTGCAAGCTATGATTTTCAGTGTCAAATTTACAATACAACAGATCTATGGGGTTGGGGAGTAAAGGGGCCAAAAAAGCCACCAAAATACCCTTTCCTCCCATTATTTCTAGAATTGCTTGAAGTGGCAGCTTTCATGAAGATAAAATTGCTATGCCTCTTCATTAATAACAGTAGGTTCTCATTTTCAAGTGTATCTCATTCAGCGATAGGGATGGGGGGATGGGGAAAAGTCCTTTTCAGTTTTTGCAGTTAGTCGTAATATGCTTGAATTCAACGCGCTTTCTCAAAAAAGGCTCATTTATTTGAGTGGCTCTGATTTGAATAAAGTCTCACCTTATCTGAAGCTGCTGAATTGCAGGCGGGATTGATCATGGCTTCTTAGAGGGATAAACTCTGAGGAAGGGATTTCCACAGTACAACTACTTGCCTTAAATAGTACAGCTTTGGGACAAAAGCACTTTGCTCTTCTCAGTCAATAGCAATAGCTCAGTTGGAAATTTTGTTAATGTTAAAAAAAAAAAACCTGTTAGAGACAACATAGATTGCTATGTTGAAAGAAAATTCTATTATGTCTGTGACTATTTCCATCTTGTTTTTTTACTATGGCATGTGAAATTGTTTCCTACTTTTATTTTTTGAGAAAAGCATGTGTTGGCTGTTATTTACCAAAAACACATGTGAGCCTTCGTGTGTACACACACACTAGAGTTTTGTTTTGCTGTTATGATTCACTGTCTGGCTAACACGTACCATAATTATCCATATTTGTACACATAGCATGGTCTTGTATAATCAAAGATGACACTGTTGAGGCATAAACTCTAAATTGGGGTGTGATCAAGGGAATTTTTTCACAATCCTCTATGGTTGGATAAATAGACTGGACTTTGAAGTCTGGACGGACCACTTGAAGTATGTGACCTCCAAAATTCTGCCTTTTTTTTTGTCGTCTCCTGGCAACGTAACATATTTATACTTTGGCCACTACCTCTCCTTCCAGAAAGGTCTGCTGCTGTTTTAAAGTTTAAAACAACAAATGAGAAAGTTGTCCCGATTGAAAGTTCAGAATTCCTGAGGTTCTCCTCTCTGCTTTCTGTTTATGTCGACAGATAATAGCAATGCAGACTACAAATAAATCAACAGAAAGAACCCTTCTCTTTTCAGATTAGTGAGCATGCATCTAGTTATAATGTCATTTTCATTAAGCCCTTTTCACTGTTTAGCAAAGACAACTTGGGGGCAAGTGACGGGAGCAGGGGATGGAAGGAAGTTGGAAACAAGCTAAGGACAAATGTTCCACGGTGTGAATACGAGCTGGGACTGCAGAAACCTCAGGTCCTTCCATCTGCAATCTGACACCCAGCTACTCCAGTGGCGTCTGTGCGCTTCTCCCAGAATCACAGAATAACTGGGCACTTAACTGAGATCCCAGGAGCTGCTTTTGAGACCCACGGGGGTCTGGTTTTTCTCCTCCTGCATTTTGCCTCTCCAGTCTTCTGTCCTACTTTCAAGCAATCTGAACAAGATGGAGAAAGAATTTGAATTTCACATTCTGGGATCTTAGGTTATACTTGAAAGCACTTCACATTGACAGCTTTGACATAAAGGGCACCTTCATTTCTGGCCAGTTTCTCATTCTCAGCACTATGGACATATTGTGCAGGATTGTTCTTTGTGATGAGAAGCTCCCCTGTGCATTGTAGGATGCTGAGCAGGAACCCTGGCCTCTGCCCACTAGATTCCAGTAAACTCCTCACCCCTCCCCATCGTGGCAAGCAACAATGGCTCCAGAAATTGCCCAATGTCCCCTGAGGGGTCAAAATCACCCCCATTCGAGAACCACTGAGTTACAGCAAAGGAAATCAACATTTATTTGGCAATTCTGGTGTGCCAGATGTGTACTAGATGTTTTATGTCATTCTGGCAATTATCTTTTGAAGTCTTATCCTCTTTTTATAGATTAGAAACCTGGGAGATGACAAGGAGAAGCATTGTTTTGTTTCGTGCTTTCCTTTCACTGATTTTCTGGTACTCAACAATGAAAATATAACCAGAAAAATTATTTCATAACTAGGAAAAAAACCGTGAAAACATGCTATTTTAATATATTTATCCCATAATATGACTATACATTTCAGACATTCGTTACCTAAGTTACAGACATCTAATGTGAAAATTTGTCAGAAGTATGAAAAGTAAAAAAAAAAAAAATACCGTTGGATATGGACTTAACCACTTAAATTAAGATAGCCTTTCTTTTTCTATTCTCTTAACACTGGCAAGTGACCAAATTGTCTTGGATTTCTTATTTCTTCTGGTGTCAGGCATGACAAATTATCTATCATCTAAACCATCACTTTCACAGGGTGTGATGGCTCACACCTGTAATCCCAGCGCTTTGGGACGCCAAGGTGGGCAGATCACTTGAGGCCAGGAGTTCAAGACCAGCCTGGCCTACATGTTGAAACCCCATCTTTAGTAAAAACAAGCAGACAACAACAACAAAAATAATTAGCCAGGCATGGCGGAGCATGCCTTTAATCCCAGCTACCTCAGGAGGCTGAGGCATGAGGATTGCTTGAACCCAGGAGGCAGAGGTTGCATTGAGCCAAGACGCTCTCCAGCCTGGGCAACAGAGCGAGACTCTGTCTCAAAAAAATATATACATATTAAGTCCATCACTTCCTGTCTTACATGAACCTCAATTATTCTTTTTTCTGGGTTTCAATCTTAGGTCTGTTTCTCACTGATGCATACATTTTTTCCTTAGTTTTTCCTCATTAGTTTTTCTCTATATGTTCTTACCAAGGACCTCAACAAAATATCTCTCAGTCTTGTTTGACAGCAAGAAAACACACACACACACACACACACACACACACACACACACACATACACACACAGTTATTTAGTAGTAGAAAATTTACAGAAGCTTGGAAAGGCATTGAAATTCCTATATGTTCCATTTAGAATTTCCATCCTCATCCTTCTCTTCAAACCTCAGTTGCTTTGGTTACCCAAAATCATTATTAGTTAACATTTTTCTATTGTAAATATGTTTTGGTGGCATTATAAATTAAAGTGGGCTGGGTTTGGAAAGCTGATACTCAAATATGCCATTGTCAGAAGAGAGAGGAACTATGGCTTCAAATTTAAAACTGGCATCTAAATATAATGTTTCCAAACTTTCAGAACATGTCTTTCAAACAAATATAGATTGAATACAGGCCAAATTTTGTTTTTAATTCATTAAAGGAGCCAGCATGGTTAAGCCAGTTTGAAAGATTATGGGAAAGGTTTAAGTATTTATAGTCATTGAAAGAAAGAACCCTGAGCTATGAATTGTTCAATTAGATACAAGAACTGGTTAATACTCCCCAGAACAATAAAATGACGACTTAGGGTGGGCCAGACATGGCAGCTGATGCTGTAATCCCACACTTTGGGAGGCCAAGGTGGGTGGATCACCTGAGGTCAGGAGTTCAAGACCAGCCTGGCCAATATGGCAAAACCTCATCTCTACTAAAAGTACAAAAATTAGCCAGGTGTAATGGCGAGTGCCTGTAATTCCAGCTACTCGAGAGGCTGAGGCATAAAAATTGCTTGAACCTGGGAGGCGGAGGCTGCAATGAGCCAAGATCATGCCACTGCACTCCAGCCTGGGTAACAGAGAGAGAGACTCCATCTCAAAAAAAGAAAAAAAAAAAGATGACTTAGGGGATAATCTTTCCTACAAGACAGCAATCATTTGCATTTCTCCTAGACCAATTTATTTATATTGGACGAATTCATTTGCATGTCTGTCAGCTTTTGACAAGTTAAAGTCTATCCTCACAGAGATAAAAAATATCCTAACCCATAATAAATGCTGAGTTAAACAAAGGGTTCTAATTTCCCTAGAAAATTAGATAATCCTTGGTTGCGTGTTAGACACTTAAACTTTATTTGAGGTTGAAAAGTAATACCAACCCATTGTAGAAAGTTTGAAAAGTACTAAATTTTTTAAAAGGAAAGAAAAAATAAATACCCTCAAACCACTACTTAGTAACCCACAGCCACTGTTAATATAATTCATATGCTTCCTTACAAGTTTCTTCTAAATATTTTTAACAGTGGAATCTTTACTGTAAAAACAAATTGGTAGTCCACTTTTTTCTTTTGCTTTTTGCTTTTCTTTTCTCTTCTTTCTTCTTCTTTTTTTTCTTCTTTCTTTGTAGACAGGGTCTCACTCTTGTTGCCCAGACTGGTGTGTAGTAGCGTAATCTTGGCTCACTGCCCCCTCGACTTCCTGGAGTCAAGCAATCCTCCCATCTCAGCCTCCTGAGTAGCTGGGACTACGGACATGCACCACTATGCCTGAGGTCTTTCTTTATTGCCCAGGCTGGTCTTGAACTCTTGAGCTCAAGTGATCCGTCCATCTCAGCCTCCCAAAGTGCTGGCATTACAGGCGTGAGCCACCATGCCCGGCCTACTTTTTTCTTTTATTTACTCTTACCCATTGTAGCATTTGTTATGTAATGGAAGTGTCTCATAAGCATTTTAATGGCCACAGTGGTCTAGCACTTTTTGTATCAAAAATTTTTAACAGTTTTTCCTAACTTTAGACATTTATTTATTATAAATTATTTCAGAATACAAAGAAGCATAGAAAATATTATAATGACCAATGATGTAGGTGTGATCTAGTTTTGAAAACATATTACTGATAAAGTTGCCCCTTCCCCTCACTAACGCTTCCAAATATACTCCTCTCCAGACATAACCACCATCCTGGATTTGGCATTCATTATTTTCATATTTATTTTTTTACATGTTTTACCACCTGCATAAAATATATAGTATTTCTGCATATTTTCAACTTTGCTGCAAATCATACCATAGGTTCTTTTTAAAAAAGTCTCTATATATTAAGGTGTACAACATGATGTTTTGATATTCATACACACAGTGAAATGAAACTGGATCGTTATCTTATACCATGAACAAAATCAACTCAAAGTGGATTAAAGACCTGAAACCATAAAATTCCTAGAAGAAAACATTGTGGAAAAGCTGCTGAATACTGGCCTTGGTAATAATTTTTTTAAAACATCACACCAAAAGCTCAGGCAACAAAAACAAAAATAAACAAGTGAGATTACACCAAACCAAAAAGCTTTCTCATAGCAGAGGAAATAGTTATCCAAATGAAAAGGCAGCCTGTGGGTTGGGAAAAAATATTTTCAAATTACATACCTGATACGGGGTTAATACCCCAAATATATAAAGAACTCACAGAACGGAAAAAAGACATAACCTGATTTTAAAATGTATGAAGGACCTGAATGGACATTTCTCCAAAGAAGACATAAAACTCTGGCCAACAAATATATGTAAAGGTGTCAACATCACTAATCATCAGGGAAATGCAAGTCAAAATCACAATGAAATACTAGTTTACTCTTGTTAGGATGGCTGTGATCAAAAGGACAAGAGATAACAAGTGTTGTTGAGGGTGTGGAGAAAAGGGAACCCTTGTACACATAGGTTCTCAAGGTACCTTAAAGTTCCAAAACTTGATTTTTCTATCAACATTGTGTTTGTAGGGATTTACTCAAGTAGGTAACTTCCAGACCCTTCACTTTCACTACTGAATAGTATCCAAAATTTTATCCACTTTTCTGTTGATATGCATCTAGGTTTTTTCTTTCCTTCTTTCCCTTCCTTCCTTCTTTCTTTCTCTCTCTTTTTCTTTTTTTCTCTCTCCTTCCTTCCTTCCTTCCTTCCTTCCTGACTTCCTGCCTTCCTGCCTTCTTTCCTTCTTTCCTTTTTTTTTTTTTTTTTTTTGAAAGAGGGTCTTGGCTCCACCCAGGCTGCAGTGCAGTGGTATGATCATAGCTCATTGCAGCCTCTACCTCTCAGGTTCAAATGATCCTCCCAACTCAGCCTCCCAAGTAGCTGGGACCACAGGCACATGCCACCATGCCTAGCTAATTTTTAAATTTTTTTGCAGAGACGGGGTCTTCCTTTGTTGCCCAGGCTGGTTTCAAACTCCTGGGCTCAAATGATCCTCCCACCTCGGCTTCCCAAAGTGCTGGAATTATAGGCGTGAGCTACCATGCCCAGCCTGTTTCCCGTTTTTTACTACAGCCCCTCGGTGTAGCTAGGGACATTTCATTCATGCACCTCCCTGTGTACTCATGTGAGGGTATCCCTGGGTATGTACTGAGGGGTGGGATGCCAAGCCTGAGTACTTGTGCATCAACAGTTTCATTATATCCTGCTAAATATCTAATGTGACTGTACCAGTTTATACTCCCACCAACAGGCTGGGCACAGTGGCTCATGCATGTAATCCCAGCACTTTGGGAGGCCAAGGCAGGCAGATCGCTTGAGGTCAGGAGTTCGAGACTAGCCTGGCCAATATGCTGAAACCCCGTAACTACTAAAAATACAAAAATTAGCCAGCTGTGATGGCACTGGCCTATAATCCCAGCTACTCAGGAGGCTGAGGCAGGAGAATGGCTTGAACCTGAGAGGCAGAGGTTGCAGTGAGCCGAGATCGCGCCACTGCACTACAGCCCGGGCAACACAGCAAGACTCCATCTCTAAATAAATAACTAAGATATTCTCCCACCAACAGTATGTGAAAGTCTAGTTGCTCTGCATCACAGGCTTACAAACCTTTTCTGTAAAGGGCCACGTAGGACATATTTAAGGCTTTGTGAGTTACATGGTCTCTGTTGCAATGACTGCTCTTGTAAAGAGCACAAAAGCAGCCATGGAGCATACGTAAATGAACAAGCCCGTATGTTCCAATAAACATTTATTTAAGAACATTGATTTGAATTTCAGGTAATTGTCATGTGCCACAAAATACCATTCTGTTTTTTATTTTTTCCCCAGTAATTTAAAAATGTAAAACACATTCTTAGTTTGTAGGTTATACAAAACAGGTGGCTGACTGAGCTTGACTGTGGGCCATAGCTTGCCATCCCCTTCTTGACATTTTCACCAAGATCTGAGATTTTCAGATTTTTTAAAAATATTTCCACCATGATGGATGCAAAATGGTAAACTGTGATTTCAGTTTGTATTTCCTGATTAGAAAGGAAGTCCTGTGTATTGACCACTAGAATTTTATCTCCTATGATTTATCTATTCACGTCTTGTTTTCCATGTTCTTTTAGTTGTGGGTCTTTTGGTTGTGAGCCTTTTGATTTATAGGAGTTCTATTTCCTGGATAGTAATACCTATATATATACATATATGTGTGTGTTGCAAGCATGCTCTCAGAATATTGTGTTTATTATTTCAATGTTTAATGCTGTCTTTTAATATAAAGAAGTTTTTAATTTACAAAAGGTAAATGTCTCCAAGTGATACTCATTTGACTGTGAAAAAAATTAGATTTTCCATACACACTGAGAACTTGAAAGGCAACGAAAAAAGAAAGATATCACTTTCTTGTGTGCAAAAGAGAAAATATTTCTTCAGTGGGTGGGAGTAGAAAAATATTTTTACTTTTATTGCAGACTTTCAAGACAGTAGTTTCTTTGAATGCTAACAGCTTATCCAGTTATGCAACCTGTTGTTCTGTTCTGAAGAAAGGATTCTCGAGCAGGGCTGGAGTCCTGGCTGCCTGGAGGGACCTGTCGCATCTGATACTAATGAAGTGTTACTGTACTTTGACAAGTTTGCAGGCGTCTGTCTTCCAAGCCAGCTGACGTAATTCAGAGGAGAATAAGACCCTCCCACTTGCGTTTGTTAATTGACTTTGATGAGCTCCTCTGCTCTGCCTAAGTGGTTCTGGAACAGAGAGCTGTTGTGATCCGACGAACTTTAGAAAGTCACACTAACTAAGACTACACACCCCAAGCCAGCAAGAAAAAGGAAAGCAGTTGCTATGCTGTTCAGCAAAGCAAGACTTGGCTGCCTTTTAGCTAGTCCTGAATTCTTGCTCCTGTGAAGAAAATTCCTGCTGGAGTGCTGGGCGCACTTGGAATTGGTCTAGCATGCTTGACAGACGCCTTATAGCTCCTCAAACTAAATACATTATTCCTGGGGTAAGCATACGGGAGAGAAGCCGGCCAGATGCACGGTGCGGTTTAAAGAAAACAGGAATGCATAGAACTGTTGCCGAGCTTGAGCTAAAATCATACTAGTTACTTAACTTTTTAGACTTTCTTATCTTGCCAGAAATGTTGCCATTCACAGTGTTATTACTTTAATGCTGTGGTGATTTAAGCAAGTGAAACTGTAACTCTGGTTTTAAACTGTATGTTACTGAGCTTCATTTAGTAGCTTAGGGAGAGAGTCCCGGTGCAGACAAATTTAGTGGAAAATGAAAATGCTTTTTCCAGCTATAGACCAGCACTTGTCTTGAGTATCACTCTGACAGCCTAGCCACTGACTTCTTGTGTGTCTGAGACCTATCTGTGTAAATCAGGATGGTCTGACTTGCTGTGTTGCTGCAAATTAAGATTCTTTTACTATTCATCAACTTTAGAAATTTTGAATTTAATAAAATACAAACATGACAGTCTAAAGTTTAAAATACTTAAACATAAAGCTTTGCCACACGAGGACTGACTGTTTGGGTCTTCGGATTTGGTTTAGAACTTTTAAAGAAAAGACTTTATTATTATTTATTGGTGCCTTTTTAGGAAAGGATGAAAACATGCACAAAAAAAACCCTGAACCTAAAACTAAACCAGAGCCCGTAAAAATAAAAGTCATAAAGTTACAAATATCTGTGCTAATAGGACATGAAAATACCATTTTAAAATTAATAGTTTGTCTAAAAATTATTTTAAGTACTTCTTTTGTTTCTAATTGTTCCAACCTATACTAAATTTAGTATAATAGAGAAAAAAATGCTTGCTAGGAAATATCTTTGTGGTCATTTCTTCTATGTTGTATCATATAAAACTGGAAACTGAGATACTTTTTATGTGATTTTGATGATTCTTTTATTAGATTTTACTTTAAGTTTTCTAAAGATACAGAATTTTACTTGCTGAGTTGGCCCTCATTAAGTATTGTACGTGACAATTCTATTTCTTTAGGTTCTGACATGGCTGGCAATGTATACACTAATTATCAACGGTTTCTGGGCATTAGATATGTCACGCCCACCTATCAAATGCTACTCATGTCCAATTTAGAAATTATTCTGTACCTGTTTGAGTACATCTGGAATCATTTCCTGTAAACTTGCTTGCTTTTTAAGAATATTATCAAACATGAAATAACTGCTATATTTTTTCCTGCAGCGGAATTCTGTGAATTACGAAAACATGTATAACCTAAAATGCAAATTGCCAAATACATTCCATTGGCCATTTTGAATATTTTCAGCAACAAAACTGGTCACAATTATGTCACAGTTATTTAATAAGAATGACAATCTATATGATATTAAATAGTCACGAGGCCAGGTATGGTGGCTCACACCTGTAATCCCAAAAGTTTGGGAGGCCAAGGTGGGAGGATCGCTTGAGGCCAGAAGCTAGAGACCAGCCTGGGCAGCATAGCAAGATCTGTGTCTACAGAAATAATAGTTATCACATGAATAATTTATCCTACAATTAATTTTAGTCCTATCTTTAAGTATCATGGGGAATCTGCACAGGGATGTTTAGTCTTTTAAATTACTTCTTTCCTAAAAATAGACTTTTTGTTTCCTATGGCCTGGCTACCTCTCATTTTAACTAATAAGTATGCTTGAATAGGGCTTATAAACACATGGATTTTTGGATTTTTGAATGGTTAAAGTTTAAAACAACTCTTTTTAAAGTCTTTATAACCATTCAACACTTTAAATTCAGTCTTTCTCAAAGTTCTCCAATAATGACAGAAATTCTTTCAAGTTTGGACAAGAATATAAATGGAGATAATTTTTTAAATTATACATATGTATATTTATATATGTATATTTATATGTGCCTGTATATGTATTATGGGATAGTTGTTTAGAATGCTGAATAAACTGTGTGGTCTTTATTTTTGTTCTAATCGCAAGTATGATTTCAGTTTTTATATCAGTTTCAGTTTATTTCAGTACCTTCTAAAGTCATTCCAAACCTCAAATGCAGGAAACACATTTAGAAATTACCCATTTAATTCTCATTGTGCATTAAAATGAAATCAATAAACCAATGCAATTTGGTGTAATTACTTTCTACCGCCAAAGGCAAATATATATAGATCAGTCTAACTAGTTTTAAGTGCATAATTTATTTATGAATCCTGGTATCATTGCATTGTAAATTTCTTGAACATGGTATCTTTAATAACTGCAATTGAGTGCCATTATTCTTAGACCCAGATGGTCACTTCCTCTCTATCCTTTCTTCCCTTCCTCCAAATAACAATGATCTCTCTGATTTGGGCAGGTTTTTTTTTATTATTATTGTTACC